>NC_000012.12:75490431-75641946 GCF_000001405.40 Homo sapiens | reverse complement strand
AGAGATGCCTGTCATTGGTAGCTGCCTGGATTAATTTTATATTGCTGCATAACACATTACCACAAGCTTAGTGGCTTAAAACTTAGCTTATTATCTCATAGCTTTGTTGGTTGGAATTCTGGGTAGAATATAACTAGGTTCTCTGTTCAGGGTCCTGTAAGGCTAAAATTAAGGTGTCAGCTGGGGCTGGGGTCTTATCTGAGGCTTAGGACCCTCTTCCAAGCTCATGGGGTCATTGGCAGAATTTGTTTCCCTGCAGCTGTCGATCTTGTGGACTTTGTGTCTTTAAGACCAGCAGGAAAATTCTCTTATGCTTCAAATCTCCTCTCAGAAAGGGCACATTCTCTTCTAAGGGTTCACCTGGTTAGGTCAAGCCCACCAAGGATAATCACCCTTTTGATGAACTCAAAGTAAACTATTTAGGGCCCTTAATTACATCTACAAAATCCCTGTTGCCATATAACTAATCTTGGGTATAACATCAGGGAGTGGAGATAGTGGAAGATCTTAGAATTTTGCCTACCAAATTTTCCACATGCCTTCAACACCCTCTATTCATTTGATACTTCTCCACATTGTGAGCTCCATTTTCCAAGGGTAATTTGAAAAGAAAAAAAAAAAATCTGCATTCTCAGACTCCCTTGTGGCTAAGCTGCAGATGTGTAACTATGGTTTTGTAAGTTAGAGGCGGAAGTGAGACTTAACCGTGGAGGTGAACTGTAGCAAGAAACAAACTGGGGATGATTCATTCCTTTTGCTAATGTGGGGGTGGTGGTGGCCATGGTAACTTCCTGCTCAGGCCAGTTCTTTGGTGTGGTTCTGAGGAATGGTTCCGGAGGGGCTAATCTTGAGACTATTCCTCAGCCCACCCAACAGTTCTCTGAGCTGTCTAATATCTTTCAATAAATTCATTTTTCTACCTACGCTAGCCACAGTAGCACCACAGTAGATTGTGGTGCTTACAAAATAGCCCCAACAGGCACAATTCCTAATCTTCCTTGTATATACTTTATGACTCTGGAGGAAATAATGTCTTTCTAATAAGATGAAATTCAATTAAAGCATTTTCCCTGCTTAGAGAAAATGGCTGTGGTTTATTAAAGAAGCATTTGATGTCTATTCCTTCTCAACTATTATCTTATTTGCATTTTCTGGAACATGATTAGTTATAATGTACTATAAGTTTTCATAAAACCAACATGAAAATAATTATGCCTGAATTATATGCATTCCATAAATATCATCTAGCTATCTCCTCATTTCATATTACCTCCTTCCTTTCCCTCAATTGCCACAACACTGTTAAGAGATATAAATAAATCATTAATACTTGATTTTCGGATATATGCTCTTGCTTTTGAGCTTGAGATATTAAAAAATCTCAGTTGACTATAGTTTACCTTGAAATGTTCCTCCCATGAAGGCATTTGACTTTTTTGGTTATTGTTGACTGATAACAACAAGCTAGTTCATGCTGAATAATTGTGTGAAACTCTTTTCTACACAATTTTCAAAATTCTAAACAAGTTGCATTTTTACTACGCTTGTAATTTTTTTCTTTAGGTTTATGTTGTATGACTAATTGCATTCTAAATTCCAGGAGAAAAGGTGTGAATACCTGCAGAGTATTTTGTAAATAAACATTGATTAGGCAAAAAATGCCATGTTTTCTTTCATATGATTTCAAACTGATGGTATTTTTCTGTTTTTATTTTATATATACCATAGTAACATTTTTAATCAGTACCATATGCCCAAACTTCCTTTTTATGGAAAATAACCTATTCCTAACGATAAGTAATCCTGTCTTTAAACACACACGTACACACACACACACACACACACACACGATACACTCATTATTAAATATTTTGTACCGGAAATAGTCTGTGATTCAGTGCTTAAATTGTTTAATAAATGATAAAATATTTTGCAGATTGGCCTCAGTGTAAGGTGAATAGTGATTTTTCAATGATCTTTTGTTCAGCTCCAGTGTTTCCTTCATACCACCAAACTCACACTCTGCTTATACCTAGATTTGCATCCTGCTGCTCCTGCTAACTCGCTGAGTGGCAGTGTGGCCTAGTGGATACTCTTTTGGCTTTTTGTTTTCTCATCTCTAAAATTAGGAAGCAGATTCTATGATTCTAAAATTTATCTACAAGTGGCCATTATTTATGTAAAGTAGTGTTAGTAGCTTTATTAAGGACATCATTTTTATCATGATATCATTTATCATTATTTTTTCAAATGTAGTTCCTGCTGAGAGTCTCTACTACTCTACTGTGTTTTCTCCTGTCTTATTTTATACTCAGGAAACATTTTGGCTAGTGTATATGTGCGCATGTGTGTGCATGTGTGTACTTTTAGTGCTTTCCCTGTGGAGCTGTGTAAGAGACATCATCAAGGGGATCTTATGGTTAATGACAGTTGTTTAATGCAATTACTGTATTTTACAAGTGATCAATTTCATTTAACAAAGTGCTAGTGAACTCACAGAGTTTGCACCATTTTTTAACCAGCTCCAGTCACTAGCCAATTCATAAAAATAAGAATGTACCTCTGGAATGGAGAGAGAAATTTATTTTACCTAAATGTTCAATCGGATGAAAATTTCCTGTTCCCAAAAAACATTTTTTTGGATACTTTAACGATTGCCAAATATTCTTTTAAATTTTCAATTCCAAATTGTTAGTGGGACATTCCATTGACAGGGCTCAGTGTCAGTGGGTCCTGAACTAGAACAAAGAAGTATTCATAAGCTTGGTATTTCCTGGACCTTTAAAAATCCAGGTATAAGGTAGTATCAATTAGGATTTGTTGGTTGTAAGAAGCAGAAATTAACTTTTTACTAAATAAATTGAACTTATTAGAAAGATCAAATAGCTCAGAGAAGTAAAAGAAAAGCTTTACGAGCCAGCCTGGGCTGGGTGTGGTGGCTCACGCCTGTAATCCCAGCACTTTGTGAGGTCAAGGCGGGCCGATTGCTTGAGGTCAGGAGTTTGAGACCAGTCTGGCCAGCATAGCGAAACCCTATCTCTAATAAAAATACAAAAGTTAACCGAGTGTGATGGTGTGTGCCTGTAATCCCAGCTACTCTAGAGGCTGAGGCAGGAGAATCGCCTGAACCAGGGGGGCAGAGGTTGCCATGTGTCAAGATCGCACCACTTCACTCTAGCCTGGGTGGCAGAGTGAGACTCCATGTCAGGAAAAAAATAAATAAATAAACAGAGCCAGACTGAAGAAACAGCAGGAACCCGAACAGCCAAACAGCTCGGGGCATCTAGATGCAGGGATACCAATTATCTTAAATGTTAAAGATGCACTGGGGATGAATTGGCTTCAGACATTCCAGTTGTGCAAACAGGTGTTCAATCGGCACCCATTCCAATTCCTTCTTTCTTCTTTCACTATTGGAAGTCAGGAAATGAAAATACTTAATTTCCTAGTCTCCCAGTTAGGGTTGTCTATGGGACACAGTTATAGCCTTCAGCAGAATTTCCCGACCCTATGCTTTCTAACTTCTTTTTATCTGGAAGGTAAAAGTGATGCCTGGAGCTGCAATGGCCAACCTATGACCATGAGAACTGCAACCACATTGTAAAGATAGTGGTGCAGGAAAATAGAAGGGGCTTTCCTGTCTGATAACATCAGTGAGCTGGTATACCTGTCCTGGCCTACTATCCCCAAAATTATTATTTTGGACCTAAAATGCCTTACTCAATTAAGCTGCCAAGTTGTGGTGGTTTTTTGTTTCTGTAATTAAACACAATTTTAACTGACAGTCTTTCAAGGTTTATTTTCTGATTGAATGAATTTAGGTTATAACTGCAACCCTTGGCCAAGGGAGTCCTGGATGCTATTGTTTAACAGTCTCACTGTGGCAGAAACAGCTAGATGGTCTTCTTATCCATTTCCTGTCTTTCTGAGCATGGTCAGAACACATTTCTAATCTCTTTTCTCATTAGGTATAGTCATGGGACTGACATCCAGTCATTAGAATATGAGCAGAAATGATATATGCCAGTTCCTGATGTGCCCTATAGAAATCTTCCCTACATGTTCAAGCTCCTTTCTGTCTCCAGATGAATAAATCGAAGACGATTCCCAGATGACATTGGCAATTGTGTTTTGCGATGGAGAAGTTTCAAGATGGAAGGAACCAGGGTCTTTGAGTCCTCTGAACTACTCAAAGGAGGATAGCCATACTAGAAATACTCATTGGACCTTTATGTGAGCAAGAAATCATTAAAAAAATTTTTTTTGAGGCAACTGAAATTTTGGCACTAGATATTAAGCCTTACCTTAACTAATACACCCACTAAGATTGTGTGAAGTTGGGGGAGAAGGAGCTCCTCTGGGAATATGAAGATGTCATTGCCATAAGAAAGAAAATAAGTGATAGGCAGGCAAGAATAACAGCCATTCACCACAGCAGCCCCTGTAATGATCCACTGGACACCTTATTTGCATATCAATTTATGAGCCATTAATGGGGGCCCTGGTAGTCTGAGTAATGGCCTCCCAAAGACATCCATGTCCTAATCCCAGAAGCCTATAAATATATTACCTTATATGACAAAGGGGAATTAAGGCAGCAAATAGAATTAAGGTTGCTAATCAGATGATCTTAAATTAAGGAGATTGTTCTGGACTATCCAGGTGATATGTAATTATAAGGGACCTTAAAAATGGAAGAGAGAGGCAAATGAGGAGATCAGAGTGATTCCAAGTGGGAAGGACTTCCCTCGCCTATTCTAGTTTTGAAAATAGAAAGAAGGCAGCTTCAAGCCAAGGAATATGCATGATCTCTAGAAGTTGGAAAAGGCAAGGAAATAGATCCTACCTAGACCCTACAGAAAGGAATACAACAATGCAGTCCTGCTGGTGCCTTGATTTTAGCTGATGCCTTGATTTTAGCCAATATCTTGATTTTAACCTGATGAGACCTGCCAGACTTCTGGTTTGCAGAACATTAGATGATAAATTTATATTGTTCTAAGCCATTATGTTTGTGACAATTTGTTACAGCAGTAATAGGAAACAAATACAGGGACGTAGGCATTTTACTTTAGTTAATTGGAATACGCCAATAAAGACATCTCCCCTTAAGAGGAGAGAGTCAAGAAAACAAACAATTTCAAAGTGCACTTAATTGAAGGGTGGAAGTGTGTGGGTGTGGCGGGGGGTGCAGGGAATGTTGGAAGTAAGAAAAGCAGGGAGAGCAAAAAGATTTCCAGGAGGAAGAGTAGTCTAGATAAAAGCCTGGAAGTAAAAGAGAACTTTAAAAATTTATGTAAGTCATTCTAATTAACAAGAAGACAGAATTTGAGAACGATGATGCTTGAGAGTTGAACAAGGCTAAGATCACGAAGGGTCTGGTAAATCCACCAGGAGCTTAGACTTTCTACAGATGACAATGGGGAGACCTTAAAGGGTTAGGAAATGAACAGACATGGCTAGATCCATTCTAGATGGAGTCTGATTTCAATGTGAATGATGTATTAAGAGGGGATGGATCTGGAAGCAGAAAGGCCAATCAGGAGTTTGCCACAGAACCTTGGGCAAGTGATGGTAGGAATCTGGCATAGCACAATGATAGTAAGAGTGAAAAGTAGATGGATTTCAGAAATATAGAGTAGAGCCTATAGACTAGATAGATGCCTTTGGCTTGGGCAACAGTGTGAAAGGTGATGTGATTCATCCAGCTAGAAATACAGGATGAGAAGGAGGTAGGTGTAAGGAGAAAGAGTGGGGAAATAATGTGTTTATGGTTTTACTTTATCATCACAATCATCATCATCATTGTAACAATACTTACAACAGTACGATATCAGCTGAAATTATACTGTCATGTATGTATCTGTTTATGTGGTCACTGTCAGCAAACTTCACAAGGGCAAAGGACATCATCTTATTCACTAGAACCTGGGAACGCTGCACACAAGTTCCTTCACCCAATAACATTAGAGGTTCTATTTTGTACCCAAGTAAAACTGAGACCTCTCTGAGAATTGCCTGGTGGTTAGCTGGGGCAGGGAGAGAAGGCTTACTCACACTCAGCAGGAAGAAGGTCATTCTGTGGTCATAACTCAGTAAACTTCAAAGTGCTGTTTGAAAAGGTTGCTGATGGAATACGTTTTAAAAGGATTACTGTATGTATGCAGTAAAACATGAAGGGGATGTTTTGTTGATTTCAACTTTTTTCTCAAACCGCTGAAAAGCAGCATTGTCTCATATGGTGGGGGGGCTGAATTTTCTCATCAATCTCTAGTGCCTAGAACAATACCTGGAACGTGGTTGGTGCTCAAGCGATATTTATTTATTTTTGTGTGAGCCAGGCACTGTTCTAAGGACATAAATTCTTACAGCACTATTTTGAGGTTTTAATTATTCCGACTTTAAGAATGAGAAAACAGGCTGAGAAATCCCACAATTCAAACTCAAATCTGGCTACAAAGCCCATTATTTTAATCATTCTATTACTCAATTTGTGGGACGTGTGGAACATCCAAGTGCTAATATCTGGTAGATAGTTGAAAATATGGGTCTGAGTTCAAGATAAAAATCTAGCCTATAGATACACTTTTCAAAACCATTGGCATTTAAATGTCATATGACAGTAAGTGGGTAAAATAATGTTACCAAGGCAGTGACTTTCAAACGTATTGACTACAGTCAGCAGTAGATTTTTTTTTTTTACAGAGACCTACAGAGACCTACTACACACACAGACACACACAGACATGCACACACACAGATCTCCTTTTACAATTCCTACCCCATTAAATGTGATAAATTCTGTTGCTTTCTATTCCATTTTCTTCTATGCAATTCTATTTCATTTAAAAATGCTACTTGCAACCCATGAGATTGGTGACATCAGCCATCAGTAGGTTGTCCTCTGCAGTTTGAAAAGCACTGCCTTTAGTAATTTGTGATAAAGAAGCCACGAACTGGCAACCCACTGACCATTTCTGTCATGGAGATGTATTCTCTTTAGCATGCTATTTCTGGCATGTAGATATGTTATCCTCGAGCAAATTTTTAAACATCAGAGATTTCAAATGAAAGCCTGAATTTCAGATTGTCTTGAGAAATGGAAAAAAATTTGCTAATGGTTATGTTGCCTATTGGCTGACATTGGCTGAAGCTGAGAAACAGCTGCTTCCTGTTTTCCATAGACACATCCACTCCTTCTTATCTCCCTGACATTGAATACCAGCTGCCATTTAAAATTATGCTTGTATTTGTTTTCTGTTGTGGTGGTTGTTGTTTTTCTAAGAGAAAAGGTATTTCTTTACTTTATCAAAGATGGAAAAAGTAAAGAGTAAGAGAGTCACATAATTTTTCCTTCCTACCACCTGCTTCATTTATTCATGTCATCTACAGATCTGTGTTATCACTTGGGTTTGTGAGCCACAGTCTAGAGTGTTAAAAGAGAGGCTGCTAATACCCACAAGAAAAGGGAGAAAAAAGAGCCCTAGAAAAATACTAAAAAGGAATTACCAGAGGGTTTAGGAGAAAATCCATAAGAATAGGACACCAGGGGTTAAGAGCATCCAGTTTAGGCTTTATGGTATTTTAATGTCAAAGGCATTTGTTGATCTACTTGGCAAAAACTGTCAAAGAAGATTCTCTTCTCTTTAGACAATTCAACTCAGTATCTTACCCCGAAAGTCAGGAAGATACAAAAATAAAGGATTTTAGCAATGGGGACCTGTATTAACATGCTAGGGTTTAATAAAAAATATTATCATGTCACACTAATAAAAATATTATCATCTTACACTTTATGTTAGAGGATGAAGATGTGGAATGCAGTTTGCCAGACATTATTTTGGTGATGGTTTTTGGATTGAGTGAGAAAATGGTTCTTGCACATGCACTGCTCTTTGAAATAGGGTTCATGAGACAGAGGTGGTAGTGGAAGCCCTTGTCTCAGTGTGGATTGGGACTGAGCACTTTAGCATAACTTTAGCCATCCATTTGAGTGTCTCAAATTACCCTACCGATGGATCCAGGAGCCTGGTACTATTACTGAGGTCAGAATTGTGACATGATAATATTTTTATTAAGCCTTAAGTCTGTGCTAGCATTGGCTACCATCATGGCATATCATCGAAGTGGGTATATGCCTTGGTCGGTTTGGGATACTGTAACAAAATACTATCAACTAGGTGGCTTACAGAAAGTAGAACTTTATTTCTTACAGTTCTGGAGGTTGGGAAGCCCAAGATGAACGTGAAGGCATGGGCAGATTTGGTGTCTGGTGAGGACCCACTTCTGGTTTATAGATGACACCTTCTCACTGTGTCCTCACATGGTGGAAAGTACCAGGAGTCTCTCTTGGGCCATTTTTTTTTTTTTTTTGAGATAGTGTCTTGCTCTTGTCGCCCAGGCTGGAGTGCAATGGCATGATCTTGGCTCACTGCATCCTCCACCCCCAGGCTCAAGTGATTCCCCTGCCTCAGCCTCCTGAGTAGCTGGGATTACAGACACCCACCATCATGCCCAGCTAATTTTTGTATTTTTAGTAGAGATGGGGTTTCACCATGTTGGCCAGGCTGGTCTTGAACCCCTGACCTCAGGTGATCCACCTTGGACCTTTTTTATAAGGGCACTAATTTGGTCCATGAGGGTTCCATTCTCATGATCTAATCACTTCACAGAGGTTCTACCTCTTAATCTCATCGCTTGTGGATTAGAATTTAAACATAAAAATTTGGGGGGGGGGGGCGGATCACAAACACTCAGATCATAATAGCATATAAAATGAGTTGAAGTCCTAGGAAAAAGGCTTTGAGAGAAGGAGTTAGTTTGCATAGGGAAATCATTTACAATCAGTATTAACTGAGGGTACTCCTTATAGTGGCTGGAATAATATATCATTTGAATAAATTGGTGGTCTTCAATTTTGATTGCACCACCAAAGAATCAAAAGTTACTCAAGAATTAACAACTGAATATCGCATTAGACAATTTGAAGGAGGGAAACAAAATAAGCTCTGCTATAATTTTCAAAAAATGACGAAACTTTTTACACAAATTAAAAATAATTTCAAAAAGGATTTTCACCTTAGCATTAGTCTTTTTTGTTTAATAATAAAGGAAGGAGAAGAAACAAAAAGAAAAGATAGACTATTTTTGCCTAAATGTCATTCTTAGAAGCAGAGAAGTATTTACTTTTCTTTTGTTCCTTCAAATCCTAAGAGGGCAGTACAAGCTGGAGCTTCTCTTCCTTTTCATTTGCCAGGAAACAGCACACAAAGGCAAGGCTTCTCTTAGCAGGGCAGAGACATTTGTTTTCTTTTTTTCTATTCCCTGTTGAGCTGAGCCTTTAAACAGAAATCTATCCGCTGTGCTTCTATTGTGTTGTGAGCACCATGACTTATGTTTATTCTTTATAGATCACGTTTTCCATGTTTTACCATGTTAGCGAGTTAAAATGAGTACATATTTTGAGGTATTCACAAGTGGACAATTTATAATTCTTTGGTTATGACTAAAGGTTGAGTTGCTAAAATATCATAAAGGGATATTTGCCTAGAATTAATATATGTAAAATACTCTGTGTTAAGTAGCCAGCCATAGCACATAAACTAATGAAATCTCCAGGAACTGAGATTTTACAATAATTAAGATAATGCTTATAGGTAATATACATTATAATGAGAATTTTATTTTTCTATGGAAGATTGGTAAAAATAGCCAACATGACGTATAGGGCAAAAATGACTTCTTAGTATTTGTCGGTCTAAACAGGGTCACTTTCCTACCTCAAAGTCATCTATCAAATAAATCCTTCTTCCCCCATGGAGGGAAATCAACTAGTTTAGCTGAAGTCTCTCCAATGTGAAGCAGCCAGCCAAGAG
Source organism: Homo sapiens (assembly GCF_000001405.40). NCBI lineage: Eukaryota > Metazoa > Chordata > Mammalia > Primates > Hominidae > Homo > Homo sapiens. The sequence continues at coordinate 75,632,071 of NC_000012.12, read as the reverse complement.
AAAAGGAGAGGATCCAGAAGCTGAGAGATGCTTTACTTAGTCAAGTTGGCAGGAGAAGACACAATGAGAGAATGATGAGCTATGCATATTTAGAGAATTGGACAAGAGATAAATAAATAGTAGCAGCTGTGGTCTGGACGTGTCCCCTCCAAAATTCGGGTGTTGAAACATAATGGCCAATATAATGGCGTTAAGGGGCCTTTAAGAGGTGATTAGGCCAATGAGGGTTCCCTCTCTGGTGAATGGGATTAAGGCCCTTATAAAAGAGGCATAATTAATGCTTTGGCTCCCTCACCCTTCTGCCTTTTACCATGTGAGGACAACACATTCCTCCCCTTGAAGGATGCAGCACCAGGTGCCATCTTGGAAACAGAGAGTAGCACTCACCAGATGACCAAACCTGTCAACACCTTGATCTTGGACTTCCTAGCCTCCTGCACTGTGAAAATAAATGCCCGTTTTTCACAAATCAGCCAATCTCAAGTATTTTTGTTATGGCAGCATAAAACTAAGAGAGTAGCTCTTGTGATTAGAGTGGATGTGGCTTTCATTTCAATTAGAATGGATGTGGCTTTTCAATTGCAATAGGGTCTTACTACTTACGTAACAATACTATTGATATTTTACATGTATTCTGCATACTTTCATTTGAGACCTACTCATGTATTATTCTATATGATCCTCAGAAAAACTTGGTGAGGAAGTAATAGAAGGCTCTATTAATAATAATAACTTTGTTATTATTCTCATTTTACAGGTAAAGAAACCAAGGCTTAGAGACCTGCTCACAGTCGTTTCGTGAGGGAATGCAACATCTGGGTCTAGGGTCCAAATCTATCTCTGCTGTGAAGAGGAACTCATACAGGAGATCTACATGATTACCAATTCTTGGCCTTGCAGTGGAGGTAAGTCTTTTTATCAGCCTTTCAAAGCTGCCTATAGATACCTAGGCATCTATAGGATTTTATAGAGATCATTAGGATTTTATAGAGCTCTTCATATTTTATGGGGCTAATTTTAGCCAATCTTGAGATTGTGGTCATGTTTCTGTAACTATTGATTAACTCAGCAAATATCATAGAGGAAATTATAAGATATTTAATATATGATTGTTGAATAAATGAAAAGATCTGTGATGAGCATAGCAAGATCAATGTATTTCTAGGTCATAGCTAATGATAAAATATATAAAGCAATTATTTGCTTTTCACATTTTATGATTTTATAGTGACAAAACCTATTTTTTATCTCAAAAGCCTCAAAGGCCAGAAGCTTTTTTTTTTTTTTTTTTTTTTTAATAATTTAACCTCAAGTAGGGTTGTGGACATGTGGCCAAGATTGTTGCTGCAGGGAAACTTAAGCATAGAGAAAAGGAAATAAAGAAGCAAGGACAGTGACAGTTCAGTCTGGTGAGAGTGTCAGCATCCAGCAGCAGCTATGGCAGTGGCAAGAGTAGTAGGGTGTCCGGTGGCCACGACTAGCAGGGCTAAAAGCAGCTTTGTTCTAGCCAGACTTTTCCTTTGTGTCATTTCAGTTGTGGTTTTGGCCTTCTAAGGGCTTTGTTCCTCCCCATTTTCCAAGGCTCTTTTTCTAGTTATTCTGGCTATTCTGTGAGCCACTTGATATCTTTCTGTTTTAGTTAGGATTCTCCAGAGAAACAACCAATAGGACATGCATATATAAAGAGATTTAGTATTTAGTATAGGGCATTGGCTCACGTGACTATGGAGTCTGGAAAGTCTCAAGATCTGCAGGGCAAGTGGACAAGCTGGAGACCTGGGAGATCCCATGGTGTAGTTCCAGTCTGAAGCCTGGCAGCCTGGGGACCCAGGAAGAACCAATGTTTCAGTTCAAGTTTCAAAAAAGGAAAAAGCCAATATCCAGTTCAAATGCAGTCAGGAAAGCAGAATTTTATCTTACTCCAGGGAGGTCAGCCTTTCATTCTATTCAGACCTTTCGTCAACCAATTGAATGGTTGCCCACAGAAATTGAGGGGGAGCAATCTGTTTTATTCAGTCTACCAATTTAAATATTAACCTCATCCAAAACTACCATTATAGAAATACCCAGAATAATGTTTGACCCAATATCTGGGCACCCAGTAACCCAATCAAGTTGACACATAAAATTCAACATGTTTTTCAATAGGTACTTTTCTGCTCCAGTTCACTGGAGTTAGTTTCTGTTGCTTGTAAATAAAAAAACTTCAATTGATTAGTTGCACAGATGAATGTTTATGTAAAAACTATTTACAAACAGAACAGTATGTGTTAGTCACTATCCTGGATGTTAAGAATACTGCAGTGAATACAATCAACAAGATATTTGCCTTTATGGAGATGAAATTTTAGTGAAGAGTAGAAAACAATAAATAAGAAAATAAAGGATAAAATAATGCCAGCTAGTAATAAGTGGTATGGAAACAACAATGACAGACCTACAGAAAGTAACGGGGAGCAGGGGAGTTCCACTTTGGATTAGAAAGTTAGAAGATTTCTCTGAAAAGATGATATTTGAGCCAAGACCTGAATGCAAAAAAGAAGGCAGATGTGGTAAAGTCTAGGAGCAAGGCATTCCTGGCACAGAGAATAGCAAGGCCAAGTTCCTGCAGTGGGAATGAACTTAGTGTGATTGAACAACAGTAAAAAGGAGAGTATAGTTACAGCCCAGTGAGGAAAGGGTTAGTAGTGCAAGATGAAGTCAGATGTGGAAGAGGTTCAGATTTTATTCTAATTATGATCGGCTGCCATTTGAGTGTTTTAACTAAGGAAGGAAGAGAAGCTGATTTGCATTTTATAAAGATGGCTCCAGTGCTCTGTGGAGAATGGATCATAAAATGACAGGAGGGCAAGCCTACAGATCTGCTGGGTTCCTGTTACAGGAGTCCAGGTGAGAAAGGACAAACAAATGATTTTTTTTCAGGGCCTCTAAGTTGTGCTAGATGGAGAAGTTTAGCAGAGATGAAGTGAAGAAAGCATATGCCTTGAGCTGCTTATCTTAGAAAAACAGTTTATATTAATCAAAGGCACCATGAGCCAGGGCCACCATGTAAATGCTTGAATAAACACTTCCATTTTCAGGCAATTGAGAAGGTCAAGGCAGTTTCTGTGTTCAATTTTGTGTGATTTTCCATTCCATTCAGCTGAAAAGAATAAGCTGACAAGCATCACTGCTCAATTTTTCAGCTTTGTGATAGAAAGAAATAAAATGTTATGCCCAAAAAAAGCAAAATTCATTTTCTTTTCACCGAGATATTTTCTTCATTTATTCAAGGACTCATGACAAAGAATGTTTGCTTGAGATGATAAAAATATAGGCCACTACAAAATCATTGTACAAACAGTTGTCTTAATCTAGATTATTTATGTACTAGTGTATAGCTCTGTTTTGTGTATATTTAAACAAGCCAGATATTTTGGAAACATGGTGCCTAGAGTTCCCTTAAGTTCTTTATAATCAACACAGTAAAATCAATAAAAAATTATCAACATCAAATATTGATTACATATCACTATTTATTGATTCTATTAATACCCCTGAAGCTATTTCTAATTTTAAATAAAATTAGAGCATGCAAGAACAGTTTATGTAATAGTTCAGTGAGAAGTGTTCTAATTTTGCCTTTCACAACAATGTGGAAATTTTTGTCCTTTACAAATTCCTGATAGGGAAGAAAATGGATAACTAGGGTATTATCTAATCAATACATTGACCCACTTTAGTCATCTCCATGTACAACTGGTTTGACTTCTAAATGAAATGATTCGTAAGCTCAAATAATTGTCAATTCAGGTAACTTTTTTTTTCAGTCCTCTTTGAATAAATTATTTCCTGTCTTTATTAATTATGGAAGGAGATGTATTTTTGTATTCAGCTGTGCCAAATGTCATTTTAAATTTACCTTACATAGATGAGGCCTTATGGAATCAAGTTTTAATTGATCATAGTGGAAATACTGGCAACATTAACTTGATCTTAGGCAAAAGATTAAGGCTGAGCTATCAAAAGGTAAGATCTAGGTATCAGTAAGGGGACATGATGAAACTTTTTTGGAAAATCTACTCTACATTAGACATCATGCCAGGCCCATTGACTATGTCAACTCAGTTTCAGACAAGAGTCATGCAAGGAAGGGTATTTAGCCTGTAGATAAGAAAGCTCCAAATATGACATATTTAATAGGTAGTTAAATCGAGACTGAAATCTATGTCTAGGCTGGGTGCAGTAGCTCATGCCTGTAATCCCAGCACTTTGGGAGGCTGAGGCAGGTGGATCACTTGAGCCCAGGAGTTCGAGACCAGCCTGGGCAACATGGCAAAACCCTGTCTCTAAAAAAAATAAAGTACAAAAATTAGCCGAGTGTGGTGGTGCTTGCCTGTGGTCCCAGCTGCTGGGAAGGCTGAGGTGGGAGGCTTGCTTGAGCCTGGGGAGGTCAAGGCTGCGGTGAGCCATAATCACCCCACTGTACTCCAGCCTGGGTGACAGAGTAAGACTGAATAAAAATAATAATACTTTTTTTTTATTTAAGAAAAAAAAACTATGTCTATCCAGCTCCAAATAGTTTGTGTTTTTTACTTATTCTTCTTAATTCTGTTGCAATGTTTCCTAAAGTGATAAGTCAAAGTTTTTCCATTTGTTCTATTTAATCCCTACTCTAGTTATAACCCTTACACCATAGATAAGTTCATCAGATCCTTAAAAAGACTATTTTTTTTCTTCTGGTTATAAGGTGATATATACTCGCAGAAAACTTGGGGAAAACAAAGGAATAAAAAAATCACATATGTTCTTAGCGACATAAAAATAACCTCTGTATTAGTCTGTTCTCATGCTGCTAATAAAGACATACCTGAGCCTGGGTAATTTATAAAGGAAAGAGGTTTAATTGACTCACAGTTCCTCAGGGCTGGAGAGGCCTCAGGAAACTTACAATTATGGTGGAAGGGGAAGCGAACGCGTCCTTCACATGGCAGTAGCAAGAAGAAGTGCTGAGCAAAAGGAGAAAAAGTGCCTTATAAAACCATCAGATCTCGTGAGAGCTCACTCACTATCACGAGAACAGCATGAGGGTAACTGCACCTGTGATTAAATTACCTCCCACTAGGTCCCTCCCAAAACACGTGGGGATTATGGGAACTACAATTCAAGATGAGATTTGCGGGGGGCACAGCCAAACCATATCAATCTCTATCAATGTTTTGATGTCTTTAATGTCTTAATCTTCAGTGTTTTTCATACAAAGTGGGGTTATGTTTCATCTCTAGTTTTGTATTCTATGCATATATAATATTGTGTCATATTTTTTGTATGTTGCTAAATATTCTTTGAATTATTTCAATTCCTTATATTATTTATATGGTGCAAACCACTCTTTTGAATGAATATATTAGGATATATTTAAGAATTCTCCCACATATGAATATTATAATTTTAATTGATTCTTATTTTTAATCATATTGTAATAGACATCCCTATTTGCCCACAATTCTTTTTATTTGCTAAAAATACATTCCTATAAGTAGAATAACTATTTAAAATATACATTTTAAAGGGCTTTTGATACATCTTGCCAGATTTCTCCTGTTGCTCTCTATAAAAGTTGTAACAATTTGTTCCCTTACCAGTCTTCAATGCACTGTACCCACAAAGTAATTGCAAATTTGAGAAGCAAAACTGGCACCTAATTACGGTTTTAATTTGAATTTGTAGCTTATAGTGCAGTTGGATCTTTTTTAATATGTTCATTTGTATTTTGCGTTTCTTCTGTAGCTTGGCCCTCCATGTCCTTTTTTTTTTTTTTTTCCTGTGAATTTGAGTTAGAGAATGTTTGCTCCCTCTTTGTTCATTTTTTAAGGGTTTTAATAAGATTGGGGTAACCTGGTTTTGAATGTTTGGTGGAATTCACCTTGTAAATTTATTTCAGCTCATTTATTCCTTGAATGTAGATTTTTAAATGCTTAGTCAACTTAACAGTTATAATACAAAGTTTTTTTTGGTAAGTCAGTATTGGTAGGTTATATTTCTCTAGGAATGTATCAGTTTCATCTAAGGTTTACATTTTATTGACATAAACTTGAGTACATATTATTTGTTTTTGATGATTGCTTTGTTTTAGGTAGTTAGGCTGATCAATCTTGCTGTTGATTGTTTTATTTTACTTTTTGACTACCAAAAAAATAGAATGTTCCAATCAAGTTTCTCTTAAATTATTTCTTGTTTTTTCTTTTGATATAATATTAAATACACATTTACTGTCGTGTTTGAGAAAAGAGCTTGTCCCATGCTTTTCTAGAATACACAGAGGTGTATAGATTCATCTATTTTTTTTTTTTTTTTTTGGGGGGGGATGGAGTCTTGCTCTGTTGCCAGGCTGGAGTGCGGTGGCGCGATCTTGGCTCACTGCAACCTCTGACTCCCTGGTTCAAGAGATTCTCCTGCCTCAGCCTCCTGAGTAGCTGGAATTACAGGCACACGCCACCATGCCCAACCAATTTTTGTATTTTTAGTAGAGATGGGGTTTCACCATGTTGGCCAGGATGGTCTCCATCTCCTGACCTCATGATCTGCCCGCCTTGGCCTCCCAAAGTGCTGGGATTACAGGTGTAAGCCACCGTACCTGGCCTCTATAGCTCTATCTATGAGGGACTTGGTCCTGAGGATACATGGATTATTACCCTGAAACTCTCTCACTTTCAGAAAAAGCTGAAGAATGCTCCAAGAGTGGTTAGAAACTTAGGCCTTAAATGTAAATGGGAAAAACATGTTTTCAACATTATTACTTAACATTATTCAAAGCCTGTATCTCATTTATTTTTACTACTTCGTCTAAAATGGACTGATAATGGAATGAAGTATCTTACTACAATTATCTGTCAGTTTCTGTGTGAATCTCTAAAAATTTCTATTTATTTCTAATGGTATGGTATTATTTTAATAAGCTCATAAAATGTTGTGATGGCCTAATGTTAAGTTTAGAGGTAAAAGAATGCGTTGGAAGTTCAAGAATTTATCTATAATCCAATAACGATACTTTTTTGTTTTTTTTTTTTTTTTTGAGACAAAGTCTCTGTCACCCAGGCTGGAGTGCAGTGGCACGATCATGGCTCACTGCAGCCTCTCACTCCCCAGGCTCAGGTGAACCTCCCACCTCAGCCTCCTGAGTAGCTGGGACTACAGGCACGTACAACCACACCAGTCTAATTTTTGTATATTTTGTAGAGACAGGGTTTCACCATGTTGCCCAGACTGGTCTCAAACTCCTGGGCCCAATTGATCTGCATGTCTCAGCCTCCCAAAGTGCTGGGATTAGAGGCGCGAGCCACTGCGCCTGGCCTACCAATAATGATACAACTAAAAGCAATTCCCTCTGAACTTTTGATTCATGGTCTTTCTTATCTTTACTTCTCATTACCTTTGCTACCTTTTAAAGTTTCGTTTTACTTTTTTTTCATAGGAATTTAAGTAGGTAATTTGTAGACACTGTAAGACATGACCTTTATTTAGCTACAAGTCCCTTTTATCTAATACCTATTGAAGTGATCAATACCATCTGGATATAAACCAGACTTTTTCCACCTTGCCGCCCATCACCATGTCACCCCTAGTATTTTTATTTTAAGTATCCTCCCTGTTTTCCCTTAACTCAGTGTTAGTAAGGCTGAACACTCCACCTACATTCTTTTTGTTGATGTCTCCCAGCTCCCAGGGTACTGATCTCCAATGTAGGGTTTAGGCTCCCTAGAAGGTGCTAGTAAACATTCTTTTGAGGAGTAGGGGAAAATGCTAGAACTACTAATTATGTTTATTTTTTTATCTCACCTTAAATTATTCTTTGTTTATGCTCTATAGTGTTTATGATATAATTACAGTAGTACAGGTATACTTTACTAATAAATAAACATGTGTTTATTGAGTGAACTGAATTTGTTGCGTGCGCTACAGATCTGGTGATTTGTATGCAGGAAGTTTATTGGGGAATGCTCTTAGGATCAGCGCCTCAGGGGGTACTGTCAAAAGGGCAGGATTGCATCATGGTTCTCAACTGGGAAGGTTTGGAACCCCAGGATATATTTAGCAACATCTGGAGACATACTGGCATCTAGTGGATAGAGGCCAAGGACACTGCTAAATACCCTGTAATATACAGAGTGGCCACCACAACAAAGAATCATCCAGGTCAAAATGTCAATAGTGCTGAATTTGAGAAATCCTGGGGTAAAAGGATAAGCTGAATGGCAGTCAAGGCCAAGGCCTCACTTCATTCCGTAGGGAGCTCTGGAATCAGGTGGGCCCTTCACAGTGTTCTACACAGGCCAGTCATGGGACACAGGAAGGAAGTATGACCTCAGAAGGGTGATTGTCTTTGGCTTTAGGCAAACCTGAGAAAGCTAAGAGCAGGCAGCTGCCAACACCCACAATACTGGAGAAATGAGAGCTTCAGCCCTGAGAAGGTTATGGAGAGAGACTAGGTGGAAAACCACAGCATCCACTACAGGAGAAATCACTAGCCAGCTTTTTTTCTCTCTCATTATTGTCTTTAAGTTTTTTTCTAAATGTTATTTTTAATTGACAAATAATAATTGTGTATATTATGGGGTACAAAGTGATATTTTGATCTATGTTTACATTGCGAAATGATTAAATAAGGCTAATTAACAGATTCATCAGCTCCCATACTTACCGTTTGTTTGTGGTGAAAACATTTAAAGTCTACTCTCTGAGCAATTTTGAAATATGTACTGCATTGTTATTTATTACAGTCATTCTGTACAATAGATCACTAAAGCTTATTCCTTTTGCCTAATTGTCTTTAAGTTTGGTTGAACCTTGGCCTCATCCTTCCCTCTGCCTTACCACCAGTGAATCTCACTGCTTCTTAGGGCAATTTCAGACATAAAAAAAAAAATCCATTTTCAAGCCTTCCAAACTCAAGGACAATTTATTTCAGAACATTAATCCCTTATTCGGGGCAAAACTTCCCTTTCTCTTCACTCCAATCTACTCTCGGCTGGGGAAATGGTGATGGACAATGGAGCATGTAGCTTTCTCTTATTTCTCTTATTTTGACTTCCTTTCCCACATGCTCTGTGAAATGTTGGGACAAAGGGCAGGAGGAGATGTAAAACAGTTTAGTTTGGAGGCCACAGTGTAGAGGGTGTTGATCCAATAATCATCACATCTCTGTTACATTTTTTACAGTTTCCCTTTCTACTGGTTCATTTCTGTTTGTCCACTAAGGTACTCACAAATTGTTTCAGTCTTAACAGAAACACACCAAAAAATAAAATAGTAGCATCATCCTTCCTTGCTATCATTGTGCCTTTTTCTTTCTTTCCCTCCAAAGTGGAGTAGGCGGGACTTACTGTCTGCTTCCTGTTATCTGCTTATCTTTAACTCTTGACTGCTGGCTCTTTTACTTCTTCTCCCTGTGACTTCCCTGAAACTTCCAAAGGCTGCACATTACCTGTAACTATCAAATGTTAAAGCTTTTATTTTTTTCTCATTCCATTTGATCTTTTTGCAGCACTTTAACATGAATTGACAGACTATATCATCTGCTTCTTTTCTTTTAACTTTTCTCCACTGTGAAATAATGCAGAAAGAAAAGTAGACAAAATTTTAAAATATATACCTCAGTGATTACAGAGAAAACTCATGTGATTGTCACCTACCAGATGAATGTGTGCATTTCTTATACCCTAGAAGCCCCCCTTGCAGCTTTCCAATCACTACCAGTTCAAAAATAGTCAATATGCTAACTACTATGCTAATTACTTTGATATTCTTTATAGTTTTCCACCTAAGAATGCATTTCTAAGCACTATAATTTGATTTTGCATCTTTTTAAAAGCAATATAAAGGCCTGCAGTATATATTCTTCTGTGTATGGCTTCTTTTGCTCAATACTACATTTGTGAGATTCATCATTATTGTTGTGTATAGCTGGGATTAATTCCTTTTTATGGCTGTATGCTATTCAATTTCATGAATATACCACATTTATCCATTCTATTGTAGATGAACATTGGAGATGTTTGTAATTTTTGCCTATTGCCAGTAATATTGCTATGACCTTTCTTGTATACACCTTTGGCTACATGCGTGTATGCATTTATATTGGGTATATATCTAGGCGTGGAAGTAGTGAGTTGTTGGTTTTTGCATATTTTTAAATTTAGTAGAAAATGGCAAATAGTCTTCCAAAGTGGTTATACCAATTTATACTCCTGTCAACAGTATATTAGAGTTCCCATTGTTTCATGTCCTTGCAAACATCTGGCATTTTCAATCTTAATATTACCATTTGGGTGGTTTTATAATGGTATCACAATGTGATACTAATTGTATTTCCTTAATGACTGATGAGGTTGAGCCTTTCTTTGTGTGTTTATGGGCCATTTAGATATCTTATTCTGTGAAATGCCTATTGAAGTCTTTGCCCAGTTTTCTATTGTGTTGCCTGTTCTTTTTCTTATTGATTTGATGAGTTTTTTTTAAAAACATACTTTGGATTCAACCTCTTTGTTAGTTGTATGTTTTGCAAATATCATCTCCAATTTCCATGTTCTTAAAGTGTTTTGATGAAAACAAGTTATCCATCTAACTGTAACCCAAATTTTCATCTTTTCCTACATGATTAGAAACTGGTTTTTGTTTCCTGTTTAAGGCTAGCCTAGATGATGAAAATATTCTATTATGTTTTTCTCTAGAAAGTTTATTGTTCTGTCATATTTATAACTAAGTTCTACTTGGAATGGACTTTGTGTAGGGTAGGAGGCAGGTAATTAAGATTCTATTCTGTTTCCAAATGGATATCCAATCTGCCCAGAATCATTTATTCAAATTACCGAATTTTCCCCACTGTTCTTTAGTGGTTACTGTATTGTATATCAAGTTTCTTTATAAACAAGGGTCTTTTTCTTTTCTATTGTATTCTGTTGGTACAGTTGTCTATTTTTCTCTTATTTACTGTAGCTTTCAAATAAGCCTTGATATGCAGTATAGCAAGTCATCCTACCTTATTTCTCTTCTTCAAGAGTATATTGATGGTTTTTGGTCCACTGCCATTTTCATTACAATTTTAGAATCAGCTTGCCACATTCCAAAAAAAGTCCTGTTATTTTGATTGAAGAAAACATATCTTTGCGATGTTGGAAGTTGCATTCATACACAATGTATCTCTCTCCCTTTATGCCATTCTAAGTTTATCTCAATTATGTTTTGTAGTTTTCTGCAAGGAAGTCTTGAACATCTTATTCCAAGGAAGTTGATCTTTTTATTTTTATTTCAAAAAATTTTTATTTTAAGTGTTTATAGGTGCATAGTAAGTGTATATATTTAAGGGATATATGAGATATTTTGATACAGACATACAGTGTATAATAATCACATCATCAGGGTACATGGAGTACCCATCACCTCAAGCATTTATCTTTTGTTTGTGTTACAAAGAATCCAATTATACTCTTTTCGTTATGTAAAAGTGTATAATAAATTATTGTTGACTGTAGTCACCCTGTTGGACAATCAAATACTAGATCTTATTCATTCTCTCTAACTATATTTTCATACCCATTAGCTATCCCCACTTCCCCCTTCCTTCCTTCACTCTCCGCAACAACTACCCTTCCCAGCCTCTGGTAACCATAGTTCTACTTCCTATCTCCGTGAGTTCAATTGTTTTAATTTTTAGTTCCCACAAATAAGTGAGAACATGCAAAGCTTGTCTTTCTATGCCTGGCTTATTTCACTTGACATAATGACTTCCAGTTCCATCCATTTTGTTGCAAATGATAGGATTTCATTCCTTTTTATGTCTGAATAGTAGCCCATCGTGTATGTATATCACATTTTCTAAAAATTATATTTTAAGTTCTGGGGTACATGTGCAGAACTTGCATGTTTGTGACATAGGTGTACACATGCCATGGTGGTTTGCTGCACCCATCAACCCGTCATCTACACTAGGTATTACTTCTAATGCTATCCCTCCCTTAGTCCCCCACCCCCTGACAGGCCCCAGTGTATGATGTTCCCCTCCCTGTATTCATGTGTTCTCATTGTTCAACTCCCACATGTGAGTGGGAACATGCAGTGTTTGGTTTTCTGTTCTTGCATTAGTTTGCTGAGAATGATGGTTTCCAGCGTCATCCATGTCCCTGCAAAGGACATGAACTCATCCTTTTTTATGGCTGCATAGTATTCCATGGTGTATATGTTCCATATTTTCTTTATGCAGTCTATCATTGATAGGCATTTGGGTTGGTTCCAAGTCTTTGCTATTGTGAACAGTGCTGCAATAAACATATGTGTGCATGTGTCTTTATAGTAGAATGGTTTATAATCCTTTGGGTATGTACCCAGTAATGGGATTGCTGGGTGAAATGGTATTTCTGGTTCTAGATCCTTGAGGAATCACCACACTGTCTTCCACAATGCTTGAACTAATTTACACTCCCACCAACAGTGTAAAAGCATTCCTATTTCTCCACATCAAAGCATTCCTATTTCTCCACATCCTCTCCGGCATCTGTTGTTTCCTGACTTTTTAATGATCGCCATTCTAACTGGCATGAGATGGTATCTCATTGTGGTTTTGATTTGCATTTCTCTAATGACCAGTGATGATGAGCATTTTTTCGTATGTTTGTTGGCTGCATAAATGTCTTCTTTTGAGAAGTGTCTGTTTATATCCTTTGCCCACTTTTTGATGGGGTTGTTTGTTTGTTTCTTATAAATTTGTTTAAGTTCCTTGTAGATTCCAGATGTTAGCCCTTTGTCAGATGGATAGATTGCAAAAATTTTCTCCCATTCTGTAGGTTACCTGTTCACTCTGGTGATAGTTTATTTTGCTGTGCAAAAGCTCTTTAGTTTAATCAGATCCCATTTGTCTATTTTGGCTTTTGTTGTCATTGCTTTTGGTGTTTTAGTCATGAAGCCTTTGCCCATGCCAATGGCCTGAATGGTATTGCCTAGGTTTTTTTTCTAGGGATTTTATGGTTTTAGTTCTTACGTTTAAGTCTTTAATCCATCTTGAGTTAATTGTTGTAAAAGATGTAAGGAAGGGATCCAGTTTCAGCTTTCTGCATATGGCTAGTCAGTTTTCCCAACACCATTTATTAAATAGGGATTCCTTTCCCCATTGCTTATTTTTGTCAGGTTTTTCAAAGATCAGATGGTTGTAGATGTGTGACGTTATTTCTGAGGCATCTGTTCTGTTCCATTGGTCTATATATCTGTTTTGGTGTCAGTCCCATGATGTTTTTGTTACTGTAGCCTCGTGGTATAGTTTGAAGTCAGGTAGCGTGATGCCTCTAGCTTTGTTCTTTCTGCTTAGGATTGTCTTGACTGTCGGGCTCTTTTTTGGTTCCATATGAAATTTAAAGTAGTTTTTTTCCAATATTGTGAAGAAAGTCAATGGTAGCTTGATCGAGATAGCATTAAATCTATAAATTACTTTGGGCAGTATGGCCTTTTTGACGATATTGGTTTTTCCTAACCATGAGCATGGAATGTTCCTCCATTTGTTTGTGTTCTCTCTTATTTCCTTGAGCAGTAGTTTGTAGTTCTCCTTGAAGAGGTCCTTCATATCCCTTGTAAGTTATATTCCTAGGTATTTTATTCTCTTTATAGCAATTGTGAATGGGAGTTCACTCATGATTTGACTCTCTGTTTGTCTGCTATTGGTGTATAGGAATGCTTGTGATTTTTGCACATTGATTTTGTATCCTGAGACTTTGCTGAAGTTGCTTATCAACTTAAGGAGATTTTGGGCTGAGATGATGGGGTTTTTCAAATATACAATCATGTCATCTGCAAACAGGGAAAATTTGTCATCCTCTTTTCCTAATTGAATATGCTTTATTTCTTTCTCTTGCCTGATTGCCCTGGCCAGAACTTCCAATACTATGTTGAATAGGAGTGGTGAGAGAGAGAACCCTTGTCTTGTGCCAGTTTTCAAAGGGAATGCTTCTAGTTTTTGCCGATTCAGTATGATATTGGCTGTGGGTTTGTCATAAATAGCTCTTATACATTCCATCAATGCCTAGTTTATTGAGAGTTTTTAGCATGAAGCGCTGTTGAATTTTGTCAAAGGACTTTTCTGCATCTGTTGAGATAATCATGTGGTTTTTGTCATTGGTTCTGTTTATGTGATGGATTACATTTATTGATTTGCATATGTTGAACTAGCCTTGCATCCCAGGGATGAAGCCAACTTGATCGTGGTGGATAAGCTTTTTGATGTGCTGCTGGATTCGGTTTGCCAGTATTTTACTGAGGATTTTCGCATCAATGTTCATCAGGGATATTGGCCTGATATTTTCTTTTTTTGATGTGTCTCTGCCAGGTTTTGGTATCAGAATAATGCTGGCCTCATAAAATGAGTTAAGGAGGATTCCCTCTTTTTCTATTCTTTGGAATAGTTTCAGAAGGAATGGTACCAGCTCTTTTTTGTATCTCTGGTAGAATTCGGCTGTGAATCTGTCTGGTCCTGGACTTTTTTTGGTTGGTAGGCTATTAATTGCTGCCTCAATTTCAGAACTTGTTATTGGTGTATTCAGGGATTCGACTTCTTGGTTTAGTCTTGGGAGGGTGTATGTGTCCAGGAATTTATCCATGTCTTCTAGATTTCCTAGTTTATTTGTGTAGAGGTGTTTATAGTATTCTCTGATGGTAGTTTGTATTTCTGTGGGATCAGTGGTGATATCCCCTTTATCATTTTTTATTGTGTCCATTTGATTCTTCTCTCTTTTCTTCTTTATTAGTCTGGCTAGTGGTCTATCTATTTTGTTGGTCTTTTTGAAAAACCAGCTCCTGGATTCATTGATTTCTTTTTAAGGGTTTTTTGTGTCTCTGTCTTCCTCAGTTCTGGTCTTATCTTAATTCTTTCTTGTCTTCTGTTAGCTTTTGAATTTGTTTTCTCTTGCTTCATCCCATTTTCTTAAGTTAACTTTTATTTTAGGTTTGAGAGTATATGTGAAGATTTTTTTATGTAGGTAAACACATGTCACAGGGGTTTGTTGTATGTATCATTACATCACCCAGCTATTAAGCCCAGTTACCAACAGTTATATTTTCAGGTCCTCTCCCTCCTCCTACTCATTCCCCTGAAGTAGACCCCAGTGTCTGTTGTTTCCTTCTTTGAGTTCATAAGTTCTTATCATTTAGCACCCATTTATAAGTGAGACTATGCAGTATTTAGTTTTCTGTTCCTCTGTTAATTTGCTAAGGAAAACAGCCTCCTGCTCCATGTATGTTCCTGCAAGAGACATCATCTCATTCTTTTTTGTGGCTGCATAGTATTCCATGGTGCATATATACCACATTTTCTTTATCCAGTCTATCATTGGTGGGCATTTAGGTTGCTTCCATATCTTTGCTATTGTGCATAGTGCTGCCATGAACATTGGCATGGAGGTATCTTTATAGTACAATTATTTATTATCCCGATGGGTTTCTGGGGAACAGGTTTTTCCCTTGAGTCCCCAAAGTCTATTATATCATTCCTATGCCTTTGCATCCTCATAGCTTAGCTCCCACTTATGAGTGAGAGCATACAATGTTTGGTTTTCCATTCCTGAGTTACTTCACCTAGAATAATGTTATCCAATTTCTTCCAAGTTTCTGTGAATGCCATTATTTTGTTCCTTTTTAAGGTTGAGTAGTATTCCATTATATATATATATATATATATATATATATATATATATATATATATATACACCACAGTTTCTTTATCCACTCATTGATTGATGGACACTTGAGCTGGTTCCATATTTTTGTGCAGTATCTTTTTTGTATAATGACTTATTTTCCTCTGGGTAGATACCCAGCAGTGGAATTGCTGGATCAAATGGTAGTTCTACTTTTAGTTCTTTAATGAATCTCCACACTGTTTTTCATAGTGGTTGTACTAGTTTACACTCTCAACAGCAGTGTAAAAGTGTTCCCTTTTCACCACATCCATGCCAACATCTATTATTTTTGATTTTTTGATTATGGCCATTCTTGCAGGAGTAAGGTGTATCACATTGCGGTTTTGATTTGAATTTCCCTGATAATTAGTGACACTGAGCATTTTTTTTATCTGTTTGTTGACCATTTGTAGATCTTCTTTTGAGAATTGTCTGTTCATGTCCTTAGCCCACTTTTTGATGGAATTGGTTTTTTTTTCCTAATTTGTTTGAGTTCCTTGTAGATTCTGAATGTTAGTCCTTTGTTGTATGTGTAGATTGCAAAGATTTTTCCCACTCTGTGGGTTGTCTGTTTATTCTGCTGATTGTTTCTTTTGCCATGCAGGAGCTTTCTATTTTAACCAAGTCCCAGTTATTTATCTTTGTTTTTGTCACATTTGCTTTGGATTCTTGGTCATAAAGTCTTTGCCTACACCAATGTGTAGAAGGATTTTTCCAATGCTATCTTCTAGAATTTTTATAGTTTCAGATCTTAGATTTAAGTCTTTGATCCATCTTGAGTTGATTTTTGTATAAGATGAGAGATGAAGATTCAGTTTCATCCATCTACATGTGGCTTGCTAATTATCCCAGCACCATTTGTTGAATAGGGTGACCTCTCTCCACTTTATGTTTTGGTTTGCTTTGTTGAAGATCAGTTGACAGTAAATATTTGACTTTATTTCTGGGTTCTCTATTATGTTCCATTGGTCTCTATGCCTGTTTTTATACCAGTACCACGTTGTTTTGGTGACTATGGCATTATAGTATAGTTTGAAGTCGAGTAACGTGATGCCTCCAGTTTTATTCTTTTTGCTTAGTCTTTCTTTGGCTATGTGGGTTTTTTTGATTCCATATAAATTTTAGAATTGTTTTTTCTAGTTCTGTGAAAAATGACAGTGGTATTTTGATGGGAATTTCATTTAATTTGTAGATTCTTTTGGCAGTATGGTCATTTTTACAAAATTTACTCTACCCATCCATGAGCATGGAATGTGTTTCAATTTATTTCCACTTATGACTTATTTCTGCAGTGTTTCATAGTTTTCCTTGTAGAGGTCATTCACCTCCTTGGTTAGGTATATTCCTAAGTATTTTATTTTATTTTTGCAGCTATTGTAAAAGGGATTGAGTTCTCGATTTGATTCTCAGCTTGGTAGCTGTTGGCGTATAGCAGAGTTACTGATTTGTGTACATTAATTTTGTATCCTGGAACTGCCAAATCCATTTACCAGTTCTAGGAGCTTTTTGAATGAGTCTTTAGGGTTTTCTAGGTATACGATCACATCATCAGCAAACAGCAACAGTTTGACTTCCTCTTTACTGATTTGGATGTCTTTTATTTCTTTCTCTTGTCTGATTGCTCTGGTTAGGACTTCTAGTACTACGTTGAATAGAAGTGGTGAAAATGGGCATCCTTGTTGTGTTCCAGTTCTCAGGGGAAATGCTTTCAACTTTTCCCCATTTAGTATAATATTGGCTGTGGGTTTGTCACAGATGGCTTGTATTGCCTTCGGGTATGTTCCTTCTATGCCAATTTTACTGAGGGTTTTAATCATAAAGGAATGTTGGATTTTGTCAAATGCTTTTTCTGCTTCTATTGAGATGATCGTGTGATTTTCGGTTTTAATTCTGTTTATGTGGTGTATCACATTTATTGACTTGCAATGTTAAACTATCCCTGCATCCCTGGTATGAAACCCACTTGATAATAGTGGATTATCTTTTTAATATGTTGTTGGATTCAGTCCGCACGTGTTTCATTGAGGATTTTTGCATCTATATTCATCGGTCTGTATTTTCCTTTTTTTATTATGTCCTCTCCTGGTTTTGGTATTAGGGGGATACTGGCTTCATAGAATGATTTAGGGAGTATTCCCTCTTTGGCTGTCTTCTGGAATAGTGTCAATAGGATTGCACAAATTCTTCTTTGAATGTCTGATAGAATTCAGCTGTGAATCATCTGGTCTTGGAATTTTTTTGTTGGTAACTTTTAAATTACCATGTCAATCTTCCTGCTTGTTATTAGTCGGTTCATAGTTTCTATTTCTTCTGGTTTAATCTAGGAGGGTTGTATATTTCCAGGAATTTATCCATCTCCTCTAGGTTTTCTAGTTTATGTGTGTAAAGGTGTTCATAGTAGCCTTGAATGATCTCTTGTATTTCTGTGGTATCGGTTGTAATATCTCCCATTTTGTTTCTAATTGAGCTTATTTGGATCTTCTCTCTTCTTGGTTAGTTTTGCTAATGGTCTATTAATTTTATTTATCATTTCAAAGAACCAGCTTTTTGTTTCATTTATCTTTTGTATAGTTTTTTTTTGTTGTTTCATTTCCATTTAGTTCTGCTCTGATCTTGTTTATTTCTTTTCTTCTGCTGAGTTTGGGTTTGGTTTTGGTTTGTTCTTGTTTCTCTAGTTTTTTTGAGGTGTGACCTTAGATTGTCCATTTGTGTTCTTTCGGACTTTTTGATGTAGGCACTTAATGCTATGAACTTTCCTCTTAGCGCCACTTTTGCTGTATCCCAGAGGCTTTGATAGGTTGTCTCACTATTGCCATTCAGTTCAAAGAATATTTTAATTTCCATCTTGATTTCATTGTTGAACCGAGAATCATTTAGGAGCAGGTTATTCAATTTCCATGTATTTGCACAGTTTTGATAGTTCTGTATGGAGTTGATTTTCAATAATATTCCACTGTGGTCTGAGGGAGTACTTGCTGTAATTTCGATTTTCTTAAATTTGTTGAGACTTGTTTTGTGGCCTATCATATGGTCTATCTTGGAGAATGTTCTATGTGCTGATTAATAGAATGTATATACTTGAGTTGTTGGGTAGAATTTTCTGTAAATATCTGTTAAGTCCATTTGTTCTAGGGTATAGTTTAAGTCCACTGTTTCTTTGCTGACTTCCTGTCTTGATGACCTGTCTAGTGCTGTCAGTGGAGTATTAAAGTCCCCCACTATTATTGTGTTGCTGTCTATCTCATTTCTTAGGTCTAGTAGTAATTGTTTTATAAATTTGGGAGCTCCAGTATTAGGTGCATATATATTTAGGACTGTGATATTTTCCTGTTGGACTAGTCCTTTTATCATTATGTAATATCACTCTTTGTCTTTTTTAACTGCTATTGCTTTAAAGACTGTTTTGTCTGATATAAGAATAGCTTCTCCTGCTCACTTTTGGTGTCCATTTGCATGGAATACCTTTTTCCATCCATTTACCTTAAGTTTATGTGAGTCCTTATGTGTCAGATGAATGTCTTGAAGACAGCAGATACTTGGTTGGTGAAATTTTAATCCATTCTGCCATTCTGTATTTTTTAAGTGGAGCATTTAGGCTATTTACATTCAACATCAGTATTAAGATGTGAAGAACTATTCTATTCTCATGCCATTTGTTGCCTGAATAACTTGGTTTTTTTTCCCATTGTGTTATTGTTTTATAGGTCCTGTGAGGTTTATGCTTTAAGGAGATTCTATTTTGGTGTATATTGAGGATTTGTTTCAAGATTTAGAGCTCCTTCTAGCAGTTCTTGTAGTGCTGGCTTGGTAGTGGCAAATTCTCTCAGCATGTGTTTGTCTGAAAAAGACTGTATCTTTTCTTCATTTATAAAGCTTACTTTCACTGGATACAAAATTCTTGCTGGTAATTGTTTTGTTTAAGGAGGCCAAAGGTAGGACCTTAATCCCTTCTAGATTGTAGGGTTTCTGCTGGGAAATCTGCTGTTAATCTGATAGGTTTTCCTTTATAGGTTACCTGATGCTTTGGCCTCATAGCTCTTAAGGTTATTTTTTTCATCTTGACTTTAGATAACACGATGCTATGTGCCTGGGCAATGACTTTTTGCAATTAATTTCCCAGATGTTCTTTGAGCTTCTCATATTTGGATGTCTAGATCCCTAGCAAGGCTGGGGAAGTTTTTCTTGATTATTCCAAATATGTTTTCCAAATATTTGGATGTCTCTTCTTCCTCAGGAACATCAATTATTCTTAGATTTGGTTGTTTAACATAATCCCAAGCTTCTTGGAGGCTTTGCTTATTTTTTAAAATTCTTTTTGCTTTGTCTTTGTTGGATTGGGTTAATTCAAAAGCCTTGTCTTTGAGCTCTGAAGTTCTTTCTTCTACTTGTTCAATACTATTGCTGAGGCTTTCCAGTGCATTTTGCATATCTCTAAGTGTGTCCTTCATTTCCAGAAGTTGATTTTTTTTTTAAATTTAATGTTATCTATTTCACTGGAGATTTTTTCATTCATGTCCTATATCATGTTTTTGATTTCTCTAAGTTGGACTTTACCTTTCTCTGGTGACTTCTTGAATAGCTTAGTAGTCAACCTTCTGAATTCTTTTTCTGGCAATTCAGAAAGATTTCGTCTTGGTTTGGATCCATTGTTGGTGAGCTAGTGTGATCATTTGTGGGTATTAAAGAACCTTGTTTTGTCATATTACCAGATTCGTTTATCTGGTTTCTTCTCATTTGAGTAGACTATGTCAGAGGGAAGATCTGGGACTCAAGGGCTACTATTCAAATTCTTTTGTCCCACAGAGTGCTCCCTTAATGTGGTGCTCTCCACTTTCCCCTAGGGATGGGGTTTCCTGAGACCCGAATTGCAGTGATTGTTATTTCTCTTCTGGATCTAGCCACCCAGCAGAGCTACCAGGCTCTGGGATAATACTGGAGAGTGTGCAAAAAGTCCTGTGGTGTGATCTGTTTTGAGGTCTCTCAGCCATGGATACCAGCACCTGCTCTGGTGGAAGTAGCAGGCGAGTGAAGCGGACTCTTTGAAGGTCTTGGTGTATTTTTGGTTTTGCACTGGTTTTGTGAAGTTTAGCCTCCAGGCAGGAGGTGGCGCTTTTAAGAGCACATCAACTGCAGTTGTATAGGGAGAATACAAGCTTGCCCTAGCACCCTAGGGCAAATTCAGATTTCTCAGGCAGTAGGCAGGGCCATAAAGCTCCCAAGGGATTATCTCGTTTGCTTTGGAGTTCCTCAGCTGTCCTATGTAGCCTGCAGTGGCCAGTGGCAATCCAGCTCCTTCAAAGGGTCTGTGGATGCTCTTGGCTTTCCTGGTATGTTCCTGCAGTAGTTCTTGGAGCAAAAGTTCACGATGTGGGTCTCCACACGCTGCTCTGTCTGTCCTAGTGGGAGCTGCAAGTCAGTCCTGCCTCCTATCTGCCATTTTCCTGTGTCTCGCTTATTAGTTTTAGTAGTGGTTTTGTAGGTTACTTAGGATATTCTGCATAAACAGTCATAACCTACAGATAGAAAAAGTTTTACATTTTTTCAAATCTGAATTTTTTTAATGTATTTTTTTTTTTTTTTTTTGCCTTTTATCACATTGTCAAGGGCCTCCAAAAGACTTGTGAGTAAAAGAGATGAAAGTGGTCATTATTGACTTATTTCCAATATTAGGGGGAATGTAATCAATATTTTTCATTAAGTACAATGCTACTTGTAAGATTTTATAGATACTCTTTAACAAATTGAAGTTTCCTTCCAGTTTGTTTTAGACCAGCCCAGAAGGGCAATTTTTAAAATTTATTATTCATTCTTTAATTCATCTTAGATGAAGGTCTTGGTATGTTGCCTAGGTTGGACTCAAACTCCTGGGCTTAAGTGATCCTCTCACCTCAGCCTCCAAGTAAGCTAGGACTACAGGTATGCATCCCTGTGCCCAGCTTTCTTCTAGTTTTAGTTTGCTGAGAGTTTTGACATGGATAAATGATGAGTTTTGTCAATATTTTTCTGCTTCTAATGAAAGAATCATATGGTTTTTATCGTTTTTTGAAAATATGAAGAATTATATTGATTTTAGAATGTTATACCATCTTACATTTCTTGGGTAACTCCTCCTTGTAATTGTTCTTTACATATATATTGATGTATTTGATTTGCTAATATTTTAGTTGAGGAAATTAAGGCTATCTTTATTACAGATATGATGCATAGGCCAGGTGCGGTGGCTCATGCCTGTAATCCCAGCACTTTGGGAGGCCAAGGCAGGCAGATCACCTGAAGTCAGGAGTTCAAGACCAGCCTGGCCAACATGGTGAAATGCTGTCTGTACTAAAAATACAAAAATTAGCTGGGCTTGGTGGCACATGCCTGTCATCCCAGTTACTTGGGAGGCTGAGGCAGGAGAGTTGCTTGAACCTGGGAGGCAGAGGTTGCAGTGAGCCAAGATCACCCCATTGCACTCCAGCCTGGGTGACAGAGCAAGACTCTATCTCAAAAAAAAAAAAAAAAAAAAAAAGAGATATGATGCATAATTCAAAAAAAAGTCTTTTGTCAGTTTATGGATTAAGATTATGCTGTTATCATAAAATGAATTGAGATTGTTCCCTGCTCTTTTCTGAGATAATGTGTTTAAGAATTTCTTAAATATTTGTTAGAATATTTCTTCCTTAAATATTTGTTAGAATTCATCAGTGAAACCATGTGGGCCTGGAATAGTCTCTGAAGAAAGAGTTCAGTAATTATTTTAGTTTTCCTTAATAGATATAGGACACTTCAGATTTTTGTCTTGTGTCAGTTTTTGTACATTTTGATGTTCAAAAAAAGTGTTCATTCCATCAGAATTGATCAATTTGTTGGCATGAAATTGTTAATAATATTCCCTCATTATTCTATCCCATTATCTATCCTAAGATAGAATGTCTATTCTCTCTTAGTAATAACTACTCTTTTGTTCTCAATAGTGACATTCATTATTTGTTTTTTCTTAAGTTAGTATATCTAGGGTTTATAAATCTTTTTGAACTTTTCAAAGAAACTTTTGGCTGTGTTTTTCTATCATTTTTCTCTTTCATTGATTTCTGCTCTTAACTTTATTATTTTCTTCCTTCTGTATACTCTTCTTGTGCTTTTCTCTTTTTATAATTTCTCAAGAAGGATCTTCAGTCATTGATTTTAGACCCTTTTTTATTGTAATAGAATTATTTAAAGCCATATATTTCTCTGTAAGTACTATTTTAGTTGCAGTCTACAAATTTTGATATGTTGCTTTTTTCGTTGTTGTTATTCAATTTGAAGTATATTCCAATTCTTATTATCAGTTCCTTTTTGTCCTCTAGCTTATTTAGCATTGTGTTAATTTTCATATTTTAGGAAGTTTTCTAGACACATTATTGTTTTCTAATTAATTTTCCTCTGTGGTCAGAGAACATCCTCTGTATAATTTCAATCCTCTTGAAATTTACTAGACTTATTTTATACTCCAGAATATAGTTCCTTTATGAACATACCATGTGTACTTGAAACAAATGTGTATTCAGCTGATTCTGGATGTACTGTTCTGTAAATGGCAATTAGAATAAGATGATCAATAATGTTGTTCAACTCTCTTATGTGTTTGCTAAGTGTCTGTTTGGTTGTTCTATTACTTGCTGAGAGTGGGCTTTGAAGTCTCCAACTATGTTCATGGAGTTATTTCTCCTTTTAATTTTGTCAATCTTTGTTTCATGTATTTTGTTGCCTTGTTATTAGACACATACACATTTATAATTGTTGTATCTTCCTGATGGATTGACACTTTTATCAGATCAAACTTCCTTATTTATCTCTGATAACACTTTTTGTCTTAAAGTCTACTTTACTTGATATTAAATAGCCACTTCAGTCTTTCTGTTTCCATTTAATTTCAACCTATCTACATCTTCGTATCTAAAATTCATCTCATATGGTCATAAAATAGTTGAGCCTTGCTTTGTTTTTAATTAATTCTAAAAATTTCTGCCTTTTAACTGGAGTTAAAAGGATTGAAGTGTATGGGTACACTATCCATACAACTGGACTGTATGGATTTTTAATATATTTCATGTAATTATTGACAGGGTTAGATTAGGTCTGCCTTTTTATTATTTGTTTTCTGTATATCAATCTCTATATATTTTTCTTTCCTTTGTTTCTTCTTTTTTTTAGCTTATTTGAATAATTTTTAGAGTTACATTTTAATTTACCTATTGCTTTTTAGCTATATCTCCTTGCGTTAAATTTTAGTGGTTGCTGTAAGAATTAAAACATATATCCTTAACTTTTCATAGCATAGTTAAAATAAATATTATGCCAATTCACATTAATGTAACAATTTTCATAGCAATGGAGGATATTTCACTTATTGTCACCTTAGTCTTTTATGCTATAATTTTCATGTGTATTACATATATCTATGTATCTATACTAAATCCTATATATCTATCTATACTAAATCCCATAAAACCATGTTTTAATTTTTGCTTTAAATAGTCATATGTATTTTAAGAAAACTAGAGGAAACACTGGTTTTTAAAATGTATCCACACATTTACCTATATAGCCAATCAGTTGCTGAGTCCTTTTGAGTCTTTCTTTTTAAATGTGTACTGTGACTTTATTTTTCTTTTTATTCCTATTGTCTTATTTGTCCCTATAATAACCTCATGACTAGACCATGCTTCTTAACTAATCACTTTTCCTTCAGACTTTGTTTTTTTTGTTTTTTTGAGACAGAATCTCTGTCATTCAGGCTGGAGTGTAGTGGCATGATCAAGGCTGACTGCAGCCTAAACGTCCGGTGCTCAAGTGATTCTGCCACTTTAGCCTGCTGAGTAGCTGGAACTACAGGCACACAGCACCATGCTCAGCTAATTTTTATATTTTCTGTAGAGACAGGGTTTTGCCATGTTGCCCAGGCTGGTCTTGAACTCCTACGCTCAAGTGATCCACCCATCTTGGTCTCCCAAAGTGCTGTGATTACAGGTGTGAGCCACCATACCCAGCCCACCTTCTTCAGACTTTCTATTGTCAAATCCTCTTTCCCAAACATTGTCAAGGGGAAGGGGGATAAAAGGAAATGCGGTGAAGAGTCCCTGAGTC
Organism: Homo sapiens; assembly: GCF_000001405.40. Taxonomy (NCBI): domain Eukaryota; kingdom Metazoa; phylum Chordata; class Mammalia; order Primates; family Hominidae; genus Homo; species Homo sapiens. Next base: position 75,607,265 of record NC_000012.12, on the reverse strand, counting down.
CCTGAAAGTCAACACGTGTAAGTTACCTCAATAAATTGCCAGAAAATAGAGCCTATCTTAGACAGTTTTATATTCTATGCATTGTCTTGTGCTAGGCCTTTCACAAAGAAGGCACTCGATGAATATTTATTAGATTGTTGAATGAACAAAAAGGCTCTTTTATTCTTACCCATAATGAGGGAGAACCTGTGTTGCTGAGACAAAGTTATCACTCTGCAAACCAATAATGACAACTAACAAGAGATGCAGTTAATGATGCATTATTGCTTGTCAGTGAAAACACATAAGTAACAAACAAACAAATCTCTTTTATTTTGTGCATAAAAAAAGAATGATTATAGCCAGTTAAGAGAATCCTATTGGAAAGGGGATGAAAAGTTATGAATCATACCATACCAGTTACAAGGCAGTTTAATTTCGGAATGAAAAGAGCTAAACAAAATCTATATTTAAGACATTAAATTTATCACCTAGTATTATTGCCATAAACATCACGTCAGCTTATGAATGTCTCCAAGTACTAGTTTTATTTTCTAAAAGATGCAGAGTGAGGTACTACCTAGTATTTCCTTTCTTTTTCGTTTTCCTTTCCTGCTTTTCATGTTCTTTTTGTGCAAGCTGGTACATTTTATGCTCTTTCAGCTGCTGAACTTGTAAATTGACAGGAGATTTCTTAAAATGACAAATAGGAAGGGGTCTCAGATTAATTCAACAGCTGGATTTCTACAATAACTCTAGCCTGCCAGGAAAAATGAGCTATGTGACACTAAAGAGAAAAGGAGCACAGTTTAATTAAAACTGGCTCAGGATGGAAACTTTAATGAATTGCAGTTCCAGAGAAGAACAGAACTCAGGACCCAGATTTCCTAAGGGGACTGTCAGTAATAAAGATGCAATTATCTGAACTGACTGCTCATGAGAACAAACTTGTTTTGATAATGCCACGTGCTGTTTCCCAGGGCATAATGATTTGGCAGAGAAATAACCTGGCGGAGTGCACTGAAAATAGCTGCTTTATGATTACATTGTTACTTTCTACACATCTGATAATGAGGTAATACCTGATCTGCAAAAATTAATCATGCATCTAGAGAGTTCTATGTCAAATGTCACTTGAATGAAATTTCTACTCAGTAGATACAGCCTAGTCACAAACACCTCTTGGTAGCTGAGTTCAAAATTCAATTTTGGATATAAGAAACCAAATTTGCCATTAAGTCTACATTGCTGTTCTTATTAGATCAAAAAGGAAACTTTTAATCTGCTGAAAGTGCATGGTCGCATGCTGACCCCACTGTGCCCTGAATGGATTTGAGGGGTGAGTAGAGGTTGTGTGATTCTTTGGGAACACTTGCTGGAGTCCAGTTGCATTTATACTGTTAATCAAATCCCCTATGTTAGTTTCCTACTGCTGCCCTAGCAAATTAAAACACACTTAGTAGTATAACACACAAGTTTAACGTTTTATAATTATGGAGGTCAGAAGTAAAAAATGGGTCCATGGGGCTGCCTAGGAGGTGCTAGGTAAGAATCAATTTTCTGGCCTATTCCAGTTTTTAGAGGCTACCTCTACTCCTTGGTTCAAGGCCTCTTCTTCTGTCTTCCAAGTCAGCAGGGTAGCATCTTCTTTCCTCTCTGAACTTTGCTTCCAACTCCATATCTTCTTTCCATGTCTCTGACCTACCTACTTCTCTGTTACAAGAACCCATGTGAATACCGAGATAACTCAGGATAATCTCTCCATCTCAAGATACTTAATCACATCTGCAGTGTCTTTTTAACCATGTACGTAACATATTCACAGGTTTTTGTTATTTTGGATGTGGATATCTCTGGGAGGGCTATTATTCAGCCTACCACACCTCCCAAATAGTCAAGGGCCTCTAGAGAAAGAAAAATTAGAGAGACAGAGAGACATTTATTATGATTTGGCTGACATGATTATGGAGCTGAGAAGTCTCAGATCTGCAGCCCCCAGTACAAGATCCCCAGTAAGCTGGGGACCCAGGAGAGTTGATAGTGTAGTTCCAGCCTGAGTCCAAAGGTCTGAGAACCAAGAGAGCCAGTAGTGTAAGTTTCAGTCTTAAAGCTGGCAGTATTGATACTCAAGGGTCTATTTTTCATTTCAAGTCCAAAACCAGGAAAAGACCAAGGTCTCAGCTTATGCAGTCAAGCAGGAGAGGTTCCCTCTTATTCAGCCTTTTTGTTCTACTCAGGTCTTTAACTGACTGGATGAGGCCCACCCACATTAGAGAAAGCAATCTACTTTACTCAGTCTGTAGATTCAAATGTTAATCTCATCCAGAAACACCTTCACAGACATACCCAGAATAATGTTGGACCAAATATCTGGGCATCCTATGCCCCAATCAAGTTGACACATAAAATTAACCATCACAAGGGCAAAAAGATTTGCAGTAGCAATTGGCTACCTTTAAGTACCAACTTTCAGTAATTCTTGCCACTTTCCTGATGCTGGGATAGCTATATCCAGTGTATTGTGCTCGGCTATGAGTTTCACAAAAACCCCACAGAGTGGCTTATATTAAGGAATTTGTCTGCCTCATACAAGAGGACTCCAAGCAGAGGCAGTCCATGCTTTCTCACTTTCTCTTCTTTTCCTTCTTTTTCTATCCTTAGGGGTGGCTGATGCACCTCAGGTATCCCTCCAGGATTTCAGGCAGGAAGAACAGAAGGGGAAGCACCAATAGTTTTTCACTTATATCCCATTCACCAGAACCAAGTAACAGGACTACCTAGGGCTTCTGGGGATTCAGGGATATAAGAAGGATTTCACTTTCTTGTTTCTGCAGGGCAGGAAAGCAAACATGAAAGGGTAAAGTCAGCAACTCAAGTATCTTCTACAACAACCAAGAATTCTAAGCCTTAAACTTCCCTCCTTATCACTCAGTGACTGAATAAGAACAGCTGTCTTATAGTTTAAAAAATATGTCCCTTTGCTCACCTAATTTTTCATCAGAATTCCCAATAGGCAAATAAAAATAACCACAGTGTGTTTATGCATCACCAAAATCACAAAGTTTTTAAAAATAAAATTGTTTAAACAGACCCAAGTAATAGTTATGATTGTAGTTTTCTTCTAAGCAAATTGACTTTTTAAAATTGATTTTTTTAAAAAATTAAAGCGACTGAATTAAGTTATCACTCTTTAGGACAGTCTCTGGTGTGTTGGTGTATAGGTGCACATCACATCCTCATCATAATGGCCGTAGATCCAGGGCAGCCATTGAGCCCTACATGTCCATGGCTCCTGTCTCCAGTTGACAGGTTGGGTCAAACCCTATTCTCCAACGTGTACCCACTCCTTGACCAGAGTTGACTCATCGAAGAATGGACAACTGATGAAAATAGCCATTTTTTTTGCCTAGGAATTTTAAAATTGGAACAGAAAGAGTACGTTTAGTTTCTTCCTGAATGACTGAATTCTAACACATAGAATCAGGGAGCTACTGTTCTCCATGTTTTGTATGTTGACTGGGAGCAGAGAAAGCTAGTCCTCAGAGAAAGAAAACAATGAAATTGAAGGGCAGAATGGAGCATGGACAAAACCTGGATCATTCTAGATTATTCTTGGAGCCCAGCCACATTCCTGGGCTTGGCTTGGTTACTGACCTTTAGTCATTATGAGAATACTGGGGTTAGTTCAATGTAATGCTCTGCTATTTATAATTAGATATAACTCTATAAAATGTAGGATTATTGACTGTGCATAAAAATTATGTCTGTAAAAGGACCGAGCACGGTGGCTCACACCTGTAATTCCAGCACTTTGGGAGGCCAAGGCAGGCGGATCACCTGAGGTCAGGAGTTCAAGACCAGCGTGGCCAAAATGGTGAAACCCCATCTCTACAAAAAATACAAAAATTAGCTGGGCACCATGGCAGGCACCTGTAGTCGCAGCCACTAGGGAGGCTGAGGCAGGAGAATCACTTGAACATGGGAGGCAGAGGTTGCAGTAAGCCAAGGTTGCACCACTGCACTCCAGCCTGGGTGACAGAGTGAGACCCTGTCTCAAAAAAATAATAATAATAATAAAATAAACCATAGCCACTACTTGCATTAAATATTTCTAAACTTCAATTAGTAAACAATGGTGAGTAAAAGTAAGCCTAGGATTATAAAGCCTTTTTGTTTTTGTAAAGCTGAGATCGTGCCATTGCACTCCAGCCTGGGCAACAGAGTGAGAGACTCCATCTCAAAAAAAAAAAAAAAAAAAAAAAGTCTGTAAAAGGATTACTTCTGTTATAACAGAGGAAATTACTTTGATTAACTGAAAGGCATAATTAAAACCTCTGGCCTATAATTAATCAAATTGTAGTCTTATTTCTTCATCAATTTCTAATGCATCATACAGTATAACAAAATATGATAAAGTATTTGAAATAGCAACAGTAAATTCCAGAATATATTCATAAAATCTAGAGGAGTGCCATACATCAAGAAGGAAATATGAAATATTTTACAGAAATTAAATGTGTTAATTTTACACTTTATTTAAAATCTCCGGGATAGACTAGAGAGAGCTTTTGTATGATATAGAGAGATTTATTACTATGGGAAGATTTGGTTTCAGTTTTGCTAAATTTGAAAATTAAGATATGCCATATTTATATTTCTTACAGGAAACCATCTTTTAATATTTGATGCAAAATAATTTTATCAACCTTACTTTTAGTATCTAATTTTAAGATGCTGAAATCTGACAGTTCTGATACTAATTATGTCTTATTTAAAATATAGCTATACTATAAAGCACTAAATCCCGGGTCTGTGGTGGTGAGAGATTGTACCGTGTAACATATTACACTGCTAATTCATAACGTTTCTTTGTAAAACTGCAAGCAGGGCCATTTCAAACATCTTGTTAATGAGCCTTATCCTGCCTCCCTTGGGAATGCAGATGGGGTTTGCTTCTAGCCCTTCTGGAGGCAAATAAAGAAATAGAACTGACTAGGTTATAAACCCAGATGAAATCCTCATATGAGAAGATTCTCATTTGTGCCATGTGTTCGGGCTGAGCTGGAGATGAAATATAAGGTGTCACTGCACAATCCCTAGAGGACTGTCACCAAGTGATCTTCCTTCAAATTTGCCTTCAACTTATCACAAGCTGCTTTAATTCCTTTCCAGTATGTTCACCATAATGTCATCTGCCTTCAGTTTCCTCTTGGTTTTTAAATGCATCCATGACACAGCTGACCAGCTCTTTCCTTGAAATGTGTATCTCTGCCATGAAACTTTCTTGATACCCTTTCAGAATTTTGTCTTTCTTTTTTTAATAAAATATAGCTTTTATTGAGTAAAGGAAAAAGGGAATTCAGCTGCATGATAGAAATATTCCAGTTTGATCAACTTGTAACAACAGTCTTCCTATTTACGTGAGAGGAGCCTCACTAGTCCACAGGGAGCACTTAGGAACGACTGCTTCAACGGGTTGGTTCTCACTCTCGTGCACATTATCAGCTCCTGGTCAGTCCCAAGAGGCAAGGGCAGAGGGCATGATGGTTCTCACAGAGCTACTTCATAAATAAACTCTATATGACTTTTCTGGGAGTCTCTTACATTCTTTTATTTTAAAAGACCTGAGCAGAAAATAGAACAAAGGACCATTAAGTGGTGTTGTGTGGTTGTGTGATACATGAAACGTCCCGGTCTATGGAATTGTGACGGGCAACAGAAACAGCATGATTAGGCATTATGTGAAGAGCATGACACACTGCCACCATGGCCTGTCCAATTGGTGTGGGTAAACTGTCCCTGTTTTTCTAAGCCTTCATAAGTGTGAGCCCCGAAGTAATCCCGCTGAGTCTGGATGAGGTTGGCTGGGAGCATCTCGTGTCTATATCCATCACAGAAGGAGACAGCAATGGTGAAACAGGGCATGGGAATGCTAGCTTGGACCCCAGTGCTGACCACCCACCACCAGCAGTCCTGGCAGTTTTCAACAGCCAACTTAAAGAAGTCGTCTAATAATAGGTTCTCAAGTTCTGGGCGTTGATGAAATGCATCCTTTATCTTTCCTAGAAATACACCTCTGATGATGCAGCCTCCCTCCTCCACAACAGGACAATACAACCATAATTGAGGGTCCAGCCAAATTCAGTGGTTGCCTGTCTTAGCAGTATAAAGCCTTGAGCATAAGAGATGATCTTGGAAGCATAGAGGTCATTCCGAATGTCTTCTAGGAATGATTTCTTATCACCATCAAACTAGATCTTTTGGGAACCCTTCAGCTTTTTGCTAGCTTGAATTCTTTCATCCTTCAGAGAGGATAAGCACCGAGCAAAGATAGCTTTTCCAATGAAGGTGACAGGAATGCCATCTTCCAGGGTGGAGATGGTGGTCCACTTTCTGGTGCCCTTCTGTCCTGTGCTGTCCCTGATCTTTGGCAGCAGGTATTTGCTATCAGTATCTTAGAATATTGGCTGTGATTTCAATCAAGAATGGATCGAGCTCTGTCTTATTCTAGTCCTCAAAGGCCTCCGTCATCTTGTTTTGATTTCATTCAAGAATGAGTCGAGCTCTGTCTTATTCCAATCCTTAAAATCCTGTGCCATCTTGTTTTGCTCCATGCCCAGCACATGTTTCATCAGGTGGTAAGCCCCACAGATCAGCTGCATATCCCCATACTGTATCCCATTGTACACCATCTTTACAACGTGGCCTGCTCCCTCCTCTCCCACCCAGTCAGAGAAAAGTTCCTCAGTTCTTTCTTTTGCAGTGATGCCTTAGAAGATTGCCTTGATAGGGGCCAGCTTTTGTTCCCTCTTGGCATGAGTGATAGGCCATACTGGGATCCTTTTCCTCCAGCACTAACTTTGCTCTCCACTGATAAAATTTTCTTGGCCTTGTGGTATCTACATCGTCTTGTGTCATCCCTATATTCAGAATTTCCTCCATCAATGATGACATCACCAGTGTGCAACAATGGTACTAATTTTTTCATGAAATCATCAACAGCTTGACCAGCCTTCACAAGAGGGATGATACGCCTGTGGCTTTTTCAGTTTGGAGACCATCTCCGTCAAGGACTGAACATCAACATCTTTGGTTCCCTTTGCCTTGTTGCCAAGAAATCATCAACTTTGGAGACTGTACTATTAAAAGCACAGGCCATGAAGCCATGGTCATTCATGCACAATATTAAGTTCTGGCCCATGACAGCCAGTCCAATCAGTGCAATGCCAGCTTGGGCCATGGTGGAAGCATCGGACAGAGTAGAACTGGAGTGGGCAAAGTGTGGAGGGCTCACGGCTCACAGGCAAGTGAAGGATATACCAGCTGCCAGAATTTTGTCTTTTTAGATGCCTCTTTTTCCTCCACCTTCTGCTAAATAGAAATATTTTTGAAACTTTTATCCTTAGCCATCTACAGAAGCTTAATCTGTGTACTTTGTCCCATGAAAAACACATGTACTTCTTCAGTTTCAGTGACATCTTTATGCCAATTCCCAAATCCTCCCTTGAGTAGTTTTTTTTTCTATTCTCCGACAAGCCAACTTCACACTTCCAAATGGATTGGCCCTTCGAATTTAGTAAACTGCAAACCTCACCTATCTTTTGAGACCCAAAACATTTATCTTTATGACTTTCCTATTGCTATTAATGGCAATGCTATATTCACAGTCTCATAGGTTTCAAAAGGGAAATAGCTTTTGATTTTGCCTTCTCTTTCTCTTCTCCTAGTTCTGGTTAGTCTTCTTTGTAATTTTGTCCCCATTTGTTTATTCCTTTTTATTCCAGTTTTTGCCACCATTATGTGGCCTTCATATCACTACATTTAGACTATGGCAATTGTTAGGGGGATGTCCCTATGTTCCATGACTGCTCAATGCTGCCAGCGAGACTGAAGCTGCAGTTGTACCTTGGTTGCCATGGCACTGCTCCATAACCCAGCCACTATAAGGCAGATGCACTATAAGACTTTCCAAGTCCAAGAAATGAATCCCAGGAGATTTTCCCTTGACTAAATCCCATGCTTACTTTGGCATAACACTTCAGAGGCCAGATTCAATGGGAGAAAACAATAGAGAGAACTTCTTGATGTTGCTGGCCTTCTGCGTTGCAGAGGCTTTGCTGCCTTCTTGCAACTTGACCATAAATCAGACTAAATGTTTTTCGGTGGATAGGGAGTGGTTCTAATGGGATGAAGATGCAAGTTACTTAATAGTCTTTAGCTCCACTACTTTTTGCTTTTCTGTCTACCTAAGTCTTCAAATAACACTTATCGGAGAACTTTGGTGGGTAGGTAATGATTATTTATAAGATGAACAGATTACTGTAAGATTATTTATAAGATTATTGATAAGTACTATAATATTTTTATTTATTACTTATAATAAATAATATATTATTAAATATATATGGCTGGGCGCAGTTGCTCATGCCTGTAATCCCAGCACTTTGGGAGGCTGAGGCAGGCGGATCACTTGAGGTCAGGAGTTTGAGACCAGCCTGGCCAACAAGGTGAAACCCTGTCTCTACTAAAAATACAAAAATTAGCTGGGTGTGGTGACACTCACCTGTAATTGCAGCTACTCAGGAGGCTGAGGCAGGAGAATTGTTTGAACCTGGGAGGTGGAGGTTCCAGTGAGTTGAGATCACGCCACTGCACTGTAGCCTGGGCAAAAGATTGAGACACTGTCTCAAAAAAAAAAAAAAATATATATATATATATAAAATATGATTAATAAATACTCATTATGAGATTAGTTATAAGATGAATTATAAAGAAAGTTTTGCATTCCCTTCTTCTATTCTTTGTACTATCTGTATGGGATAAGAATAACTCATCAGATGGTTCTTAACCTACCAAATAAAACAGGCATTGGCATATCTTATTAATAGAAACAATCAATTCTTGAATATGCTCTAAAGTTATCACTGTGGAACATGCCCTCCTGAAATTAAACAGAGCTAAACAATTTCTGGTATTAATTTGGTTTACACACTTAATCCTGTAGCTTTCTGTCTGATAAACCTCCTTCTGTATCTTTTGACTAATTCCATGGTTTGTTGAGGAAAAGGAAGTTAAGCCTTAATTATTGAATTAGCTTATACGTTTTTGTTTAGGAAACAAACACATTTACTAAGAACATGCTAATTATGGGTACTACCATGTGAGATGTAAATAGACGCTCCATTAATTCAGAAGCTGTACTATTTCTTTCATACAATAGTAAAATTTATTCTTTTTTCAAAATTCTATTTAAGACACTGTTTCCCCTGTTCAGATGAATCTAACTAATCATTTAAATATTCTTGAAAAGCACACTGATTAGCAAAGTAAAGCTTAGGCTTAAAATCTTAACTAGGAGAATTCCTGTTTCCATTGTAAAATAACTTTTTAAAAAATTTGTATAATGAATGAAGTACAAATGCAATTTTGTTACATGCATAGATTGTGTAGTGGTTAATTCAAAGCTTTAGGATATCCATCACCTGGATAATGTACATCATACCCACTAATTACTCATTATCCCCCCACATAAAATAACCTTCCCTATATTTGATTATTTGAAAAATCTGAATGTATCTTACAATCAATGTCAAATGAAATTTGCTGCCACCAGGGAGAAGGTAAGTTGATAAGTAGTTGTCAATGACTAAACATACACAAATTTAACAGGTGTCAGGCTATTGATCATCCAATTGTCACCTCAATTAAGAGCCTACATTAATAACATCACATTCTGGTAAAGTTTTAATGAAATGCATATCCCTGTCACTGAAAACTTTTTCTAAAATAGATTTTATGGTGCAATCTTTAAGTTATTTTGCATTAGGAAGGTTATCTGTTTTAGTTCAGGTGACATATTGAAAGGCTGCAGAAAATTTGGGAGAATAAGTGGAGAATTTTCTAAGATAGCAGAAGTTGGTATAGACAATGTAAGCATCAAAAAGGCACCCGCAGCATCAAATGTCTATTAGTTGAAAGGTCCCAGCCGGCTTATGAGACAAACTACCTCCCAGTGGTATATCATTTAATTACCAGAAGTAAAATTACAAATTTGGCTAAGTAGAGAGTTCAGATGAATCCCTGGTACTGTTTAGGATGTCTCATGGTTGTGATTAAGCCTGAATAGTGGTGTGTAATGACACTTGATGTTGCACATGACTGCCAAGGGACAGCAGTGACTTAGAACAGTCTTTACATCCTAAATGTTAAGAAGGCTTAGACCAATCTTTCTCAATGTATGTTGGTGGGCTACATTAGAATTAGCTGATATGCTTGTTTAGAATTGATTGCATCCCTGGGATCTCCTGCTCATCCTCAAGGTAAAATATGGAAGGTAGGAGCCAGGAATGTGCATTTTAACATTTGAAGGCTGTCATCCTTAAACTCCTGTGAGTAGTCCTGAAAAATAAAGTGGAATGCAAATACATATACCATTTGTGGTTTATTAAGCTAAAAAGAATACTTTTTAACATTTAATATATATTTTAAGTAGAAAAAAAGCTGTTGTGAATCCTACAATCAATGAATGGTATTTTACAATTAAAGAACTGTAATATTTTAACAATAGTGAGCTTACAAGTCATAAATAAGAAGGATACACTTAGGTTGCTCTATAAACGTTCATGAGTATACTGATATGGCTATGACCCATAAACATGCTCTAGACTAAGCCACCCTAGTCAACAATAGCATGAGGTCCAAGGTTCAGCCTATGGTTAGGAACTGGAAAAACCTAGTTCATTTGTTCAAGGATGTGCTCAAAGTCACCTAAGTTTTGCCAAATTTTTAAACATTGCTTAGGAAAAAACTTCATAGTGAGAACAGAGTAGGGTAAATGTAAATCACTCAGGCAAGTGCTTGGCAGAGTAAGTGTGGGTAAAGTGCTCTCAACCAGGACGATTTTACACCTCAGAAGACATTTTTGGTTGTCACACTGGTGTGAAGGAGAGAGGAGATACTGGTAGCCAGAAATGCTGCTAGACATCTTTCAATGCACAAAAGAAGCCCCAACAACAAAGAATTACCTTGCCCAAAATGTCAATGGCGTTGAGGTTGAAAATCTCTTTTCTTGAGAATAACCTTCCATAACCACCAGATTTTCAGGGTGATTCTGGACAAAGAAATAGAAAAGAAGACCAAGAGTACAACATCTGTTTTCTTTCAACAACAGAACAAAGCCATCAGTTAGAAGAATATAGCAGAGAAGAACCAAAGTCCTGACGATTATGCCTAAAACATTCTTTTGTTTCATAAACTGAAAGAAATTCTCAGATTGGCCACTGATATTCACAAAAGGGCAACATGTCAGTTTGGAGATTGAGATTCATTAAAGAAAATTCAGTAGGAGACAGATAAGACAATAACAACAAAAAATGATGAAATGTCAGAAAGAGAGAGGACGGAAACCCATGATAGAAATAGCAAAAATTAGAATAAGGACATAAGTAGCTGCTTTGCTTATGTAGAATAACTTGTACACTAAGGGCTCAAAATAGAAATGAAACAACAACATAAATAACAGCTACTGTCATATTCTATATTACCTAATTTAATGCTGACAATATCACTATTGGATGGATACCAGCGTGCCTGTTTTCGAAATGAGAAAACTAAGGTATTGAAACTGGACCCCTTCCTTACATCATATACAAAAATCAACTCAAGATAGATTAAAGACCTAAATGTAAAACCTAAACCTGTAAAAACTCTGAAAGATGACCTGGGAAATACCATTCTGAACATAGGCCCTGCAAAGATTTTTTGACAAAAACAACAAAAGCAATTGCAACAAAAACAAAAATTGACAAATGGGACCTAATTAAACTAAAGAGCTTCTGCACAGCAAAAGAAACTATCAACAGAATAAATAGACAACCTACAGATTGGGAGAATATATTTGCAAACTATACCTCCAACAAAGGTCTAATATCCAGAATCTATAAGGAACTTAAACAAATCAACAAACAAAAAACAACTCCATTAAAAAGTGAGCAAAAGACATGAACAGACACTTTTCTTTTGTGTTGTTGTTTAAACATTTTTTTAACTTTTATTTTAGGTTTGGGGGTACATGTACAGGTTTCTTATGTAGGTAAACTCATGTCACAGACGTTTGTTGTACATATTACTTCATCATCCAGGTACTAAGCCTAGTACTCCATAGTTTGTCTGCTAGTCTCCTTTCTCTCATTCTCCACTCTCAAATATGCCCCAATGTCTGTTGTTCCTTTCTTTGTTTACATGAATTCTCATCATTTAGCTCCCACTTGCACATGAGAACATGTGGTATTTGGTTTTCTGTTTCTGCATTAGTTTGCTAAAGCTAATGGCCTCCACCTCCATCCATGTTCCCCCAAAAGACATGATCTTGTTCTTTTTTATGGCTGCACAGTGTTTCGTGGTATATATGTACCACATTTTCTTTATCCAGTCTATCACTGATGGGCATTTAGGTTGATTCTGTGCCTTTGCTATTGTGAATAGTGCCCTACTTGAAGGTGGAGGAAAGGAGTGGGGAGAAGATTAAAAAACCTACCTATTATCCTTGGAAGCAGTGGCAATAAGGTGAGTTGAGAATCCAGTGCTCCAGCAACCAACAGCCATGATAGCAGTGTCAGTGGTGTGTATCACATAGGAGTAGGGCCCAGCTTTGTGTCCTAAGCAGATATTCCTGTCAGGGCCTTGTCCTTGTTCTCTGCTGGGTAGGCCCCCATTTCCGTTCAGTTTTTGAAGGTTGATGCTCCAGCATTTTTATCACATCAATAAAATTCTCCTATTTTTCCAATAACTTATTTTCATCTTAAATTAGCTAGGATCAGTTTCAGTGGCTTGCAAGCAAGAGGGCTGATTGCTTCAGGACTGGAAGGGGAAGATCGGATAACTCCTCTGAGTTATACATGGGGAACGGAATTTGAAATAAAATGTGAACATCTCACCTCCCCCATTTCAGGGGATTGCCGCTCTGACCATGAGATGTTGTTTTCAAGCGAGTGATCCTGGGGTGAGGAGGAGAAAGGCAATGGAGAGGGAAATGACAGATGCCTAGATAATACTTATCTGGCATTCAGTGGATTTACATTTCCTTAAAGTAAAATATTTGAACTTTGTCTTTTAAAATGTTATGTTATGCCCTTTCCCCAACCCCGCGCATTCTTCCCCAAATTCTTCTCAAGTCCTCTTTCTTTCTGTCATCCTTGTCTCAGCTCAAATGCCCCTTCTTCAGAGGTGCCCTCTCTAACCACCTGAAGTGGTCTCTCACGTTCCTATCTCTCACAAATCCCATTTTATTTTCTCAATAGCACTGACCCTCCCAGATCTATTTGATTATTGTTTATGTGTTTAAATTCCCCAGTCCTGTACCCAATCTTTTCTCCAACTGTATCCCCAATGCCTCAAACAGCCCTAGCATAAAGTGAATATATTTTGGATAAATGGGGCAGTGGATGAAGCCCCAACTTCTTAGCCTTTTATATACTCTTTACATTTTCAGAATCGCTGAAACTCCTGTGTTTTTATATTCTTGCCATGTGGAGATTAGTGGGTGGGGGATGAGGATGGACTATTTATTTAGTTGGACAATAGTCCACAATTTCTAAAGGGAGAGTTTTAAAAATTAAAGGAATATCTTATCATCTATAAATTTAATTCTCTTCTATTAATATCAAGGTACTATCAAGGAACTTTTGAAAGAAGTTGAACTGTACAGACAACCTAGTATATGACACTGGTCCCTTTCTCACAAACATATTTTAATTTGATGCAATTAAATATCTTTATGTAAGTAATATAAAAATTGTTTTCTGAGCATATACTGGGTATCATGCACTATGTCCATTGCTGGAGAAATCGTTGTGAATAAGGTAAAACAGTCTTTGCCCTTGGGGTGCTAAAAATTTTGTGAAGGATCCAGATAATGAAACTGTTCAAAACACGTGATAATTGATATGACAGATCAGTCCAGAGTGCCATGGGAAGATACAGGAGTGGTGCTTACCCCAGGCTGGAATGGAAGGTGGGTGATAGGCAGGGAAGCCTAAGCTGAGATCTTCTGGTGAGTTAGCTGTAAGCAGGAGGGATCATGCAAGGGAGTCAGCAGGTGTAAAAAGGAATCCCATGAAGAGGTCAGGCTAGAGCAGCACATGCTGACCACATCAAACACACGGAACCAAGATCAGTTCACTGATCCTGGACTCTAGGTGTCAGACACAGCCTGTTTCCTCCAGTTGAGTTCCTTCTACCATCATTCCAACCCTTGTGTGTATAAATCCTCTGAATGCACAACCTACATATCACTTCTTCCAGGAAACCATTCCTGATATTTCAGACTATTTCAGACGGAAGAAACTTCTTTCTCCTTTGAACTCCTGTTGTTTATTGGTTTACTTAGAGGCTGTCTCAGATGGCCATGCAGGTTGTGCACTGCACAAGTTACCCAAGCATGTGTGGCAGCTAGCTCTACCTACACACAGGTACTTATTAACACATCGTATCTTTCCTGCCAATCTTTAAGCAAGTCAAGGGCAATTTCCATTGGCTTTTTCTGTATTTCCTTTTGTGCCAAAAACATTTCACTGGATCAGTTACCCAACTGTCTATATCAGTATGAATTTGGAATGTGACTGATAATATTAGTTCAGTGAGAAACATGAAGAAAACCTGTATGTATTTTGGAAAACGTGTGAGAATTTGTTAAAGGTGTATCCTTAATGGTATTTAGATGTGGTGGGAGTGAGAGACTGATCCTGCCCTGCCATGAAGCTCAGTTCAGCTCCTTTCTTTTTAAATTCTGAAATTCACTTTGTGTTATCTCGTGACTATTTTATGACTTCAATGGATTCGCAAGAAAATCTGTTGAATTTACCATTGAGTAACTACCCATTGTTTTCTTCTTTTTCTTTTCTGTTCTTCTTATTTTTAACAGCATAACAGTCATTTGAACTGTACATCTGTTAACCAGAAGGCCAACCTGACTTCAACTTTTAACTGCTTTCCTAATAGCTATATTGGAAAGCTCTTACATCTTACCACCATCTGGTGCCATTGGCCTCCGAAATCTTTTAGGCAGTCTGTGCTAAAAGGTGTGCGTGTGTCGAAAGACATATTCAGGGATTTTCTTTTCTTGAAATTACCTTCAGTGACTCAGAAAAGTTTAGTTTGTATCCCCCATCCTTATTTTATTAAATTCAGTTAGATCATCAGGGTTAAAGCTGTTTTGGATGGTGTCTAAACTCCATAGAATTCTACTTTTCCCTTTCCCTCCTGGCTTTTTCACACATGTACAGTTTCAAAAACAAAACCTCTTCTAACTCCATTTATCTATCTTGGGGATTTGAGAGGCTCCAGGAAACATCCCCCTACCCTCCCACCAAATGATATCATTATAGGGCTGGGAATTCCCACTTCTAGTTAATCTTTGAGGTTGCATCACTGAAGGCAACTGTGAAAACACAAATGTAATCTAAAAGCAGCATCAAGTTAAGCCCTGAGAGCTTCAATTACTTCATTAAGGGGTACATGGCTGAGGAAACGAGAAGCAGCACAATTTATTACTGATGGAAAAAAGGCAAAGGAAGTGAGTGTTGCCAGATGGTCTCAATGAAGGCTCTGGACATAAAATAAAAATGTGTAGAAAGCTATGTACACAATATTGGAACCTTGACAATTATCACCATTACATTTTACAGTTGGCAATCAATTATATAACACTTATCAACCTAAAATGTTTTTTCTTTTTTTCCCAAGTAGGTACATTTTTAAAAATTATCAAATTTTCTTTTTTACTGACTCGGTACTAAGTCTGCTGCATTCATAGACAGATGAGCTACTCGGGATGCAATAAATCCCCTCGACTTCAGCAGTGCCCTGAAATTGAAACAATATGCAATTGATTTTACCACATTTGGAGAGGTGGTATCCGGGCTGAAAGGGAGAAAACTTATGATAAATGATAAATTATCAAGATGTGCTCTTACCTTAAGTATAGGGAGCATTTTTTCCAAGGGAACAAATATTTAACACCCAGATTTGGATTTGGGTTTTTGAGAGTTTATTCATATATGTAAGTATAGAGACACTGCTTGACTAAATTAACAAATAAATCACCCAGGTTTGGATTTGGATTTTTTGAGAGTTTATTCTCATATGTAAGTATAGAGACACTGCTTGACTAAATTTGAAGTAAGATTTTACAGTGAGAAGAGCTGCTATATTTTCTGTCTTACCAAGAGTAGTGATTCACCAGATTTCTCAGAATTAGCCCAAATCAGAACACGACAAATGAATTTTCAATAGGAGAGCACGCTGTTTATTTGAAGGCTGTATGTACACATTCAGCATTTCAGAAGTAAATGCTTTAGATTATTGAGCTGCTAAGTAGATCTGCTTTTTAGAATGACAACCTTAGTATCAATTTCTTTTCTCAAAATATTTTCAAAGGAAATTATTTATTCAACAAATCTTTTTCTTAAGTGTCTATGCACTGTAATGTGCCAGATACTAGGTTCTAGATATGATACCTAAATATGGTACCTATTTATATAGTCGGAAAGATTATGCAGAGAAACAAAGGTGATGAATTAAATGATAATTTTGACACTAAAGATGTTTGTCTTTTTGATAAAGTTACCCAATTGTCTTATATTTTATGAATATCGGAAAGATAATACTGATCTGAATTATGTGTTGATAAAAGAGAAATATTCAGCTTAACTGTGCAGTTCTGTCCCACCTGGCTGGTGAACCACATTAACATGAATGGGGAACCATGTCTTGTCTAGCTACTCTGTACAGAGACATCCTTATTGAGATGCCAGTAAGACTAACATCCAAACAGCAAATTGGTCTAGAAACGTGGGGCTGGCATAGAGAGTAAGTAAGACAGCCTTCTCCTTTAAAAATGTCCATCCCTAAGGCATGTCAGATAGTGAAAATAACATAATTTGCTTAATTAGAAAAGTGAAATTTTATTAATTTTTTTTTCCTGGGCAGAAACCTCTGATACCAAATCTCCAGATCATTATGAGGCACTTGCCCAACCTAAGTGAAATGTAAATAAAATTGTGTGTCAATGACCTGGCTATCTGTGTTGTTTATAGTCTTGAGCATCTAGGGAATAATTAAATTTACAAAGTCCCCAAAAAAGATGACATCTTACGGTGGGCATGGAGAGTGAAGAGAGATTTAAATAGAGAACTTAAAGGCCAATGTGACCTACTTCACATTTTTAGCTGGGTTTGCCCTTCAGTCATTGAGCAGTTCTCAGAAGTACTGAGTGTAGAGGAAACAAACTGTGAAATGTGGCTGGAAACACATGGTTGTGAAAGGGGAGTAGTAGCCAGAAAAATAATTTGGTATCTTAACAGAAGGCTCTGAATGGCCAGTCAAGTTATTTGGACCTCATTCATTTTTTTTCATTCAGTGAATACTTATTAAAGATTCATTATGTGTCAGGAGCTGTTTGAAGCAATGAAAACTCAGCGTTAAACAAGACAAAGGGGTGGAGAGAAAAATCAACAAGAAAATATTAGGTTTTGGTAAGAGCTATGAAGGAAAAACACTGGACAGTGATTGAGATCACAGGATTGATGGGGCTCCTACGTGGTCAGGGAAGACGTCTGTAAGTGAGTGACATTTAGGCTGAGACTCTGATGACAAGAAGCAAGCATCCATAAGGATTTCCAGGGAGAGGGAACAGGCTGTAAAGTGGGAAGTGGTTGTATGACTAAAGAATGATGATCAAGGGGGAAGGACAGTTGGAATGATGAGGTCAAGTGAGGTAGGCAGTGGATCAGTTTATGGAAGGTCTCTTAGGCCATGGTAATGAGTTTGTGTGTTTCCCTAAATGCAATGGAAGGTTTTAATCAGGGACGTGATAGGATATGATCGACAGATTTTTTTTTTAAAGTTCATTCTACTGCTGTATGTGAAAAATAGATTTGAGATGGGCAAGGCTAGAAGCAGGGAGACTAGTTTTTGGTAATTAACAAGAAGGATATTTTCATAGCTAAATGAGAGGTGCTGGTACCTTGGACAAGGAAGATAGGAAGTGGAGCAAAGAGACAGATTTTGGATATATCTTGAAGGCAGATCTGATAGGACTTGTTCATGAAGGTTACAAGGGAAAGAGAGGAATTAAGAAAGACTCCTGAATTTTTGGTTAATGAAGTGGGAGGAAGCTGGAGGAGACTGGGGTTGAGCAGATTTGATGGGAGTTCAGAGTTCTCTGGGTGATGGGGGAGCCATTTAGGTTTTGTTTGTTTGACATTAAAGTGGAAAATGACATGATGAAAGTTGCACTTTCAGGAGATGACACGTATCTGTGAGATTATGTGTGGAAGGATCATGGATGTAGTTCTAGTCTTAATTCTAACATTAGTTAACAATGTGACAGTAAAAGTTACTTTTTTTTTTCCTCACTATCATTCATGATTGTTTATTAAAGCTTAGTAAGTACCAGAAACTAGTCAAGGAGTTGTGAATAGCAAGATGAATGAGAAATTTCCTAGTGGAGGAGCTTGCACTGGGCCTGAAGTCATTAGGAAGAGCACATCTAACTCTAACACCAAGTATTATTATTTACAGTCATGTTTCTGGCACAAGACCGAAGTACTATGGAATTAACAAAATTGGAATGCTTATTTCTGCCTGGGATTATTTTGAGTGGGCTAGGGAGAGGAAGGGTTTATTCAGTCTACTTAAAGTTACCCCAGAATCCCTCTGAGTGTGTTAATATGGCTTGGCTGTGTCCCCACTCAAATCTCATCTTGAATTGTAGCTCCCATAATTCCCATGTGTTGTGGGAGGTACCTGGTGAGACATAATTGAATCATGGTGGCGGTTTCCTCCATACTGTTCTCGTGGTAGTGAATAAGTCTCACAAGATCTGATGATTTTATAAGGGGTTTCCCTTTTCGCTTGGCTCTCATTCTCTCTCTTTGCCAGCCACCATGTAAGATGTCCCATTGCTCTTCCTTTGTCTTTCACCATGATTGTGAGGCCTCCACAGCCATGTGGAACTGGGAGTCAATGAAACCTCTTTTTGTTATAAATTACCCAGTCTCAGGTGTGTCTTTATCAGCAGCGTGAAAACGGACTATTACAGATGTGGTCTATATACGCCTCACCATTCTCTGAATACATTTTTAATTTTCCCCATCTTCTCCACAGTAACTGATAGTTTTTGTTGTTTGCTTTTTAGTTTTCAACTATTACCGGGGGGGACATTATTATATAAGTTATCAACAGATGACACACTGTCATGCATAGGGATGTTAAGCCACTTTGTAGGCAGAGGAAATATTCAGAAGAAGGCCATGGGGCATGGTGAGAAACAGAGCATCTGAAGTAAAAACTACTTTCAGTAAAGCCAACTTCATTTGTTTCTGTGACTCATCAGTTTGTATTTTAAAAGGCCCAAAGCCTTGCCATCAAAGATCTGAAATCATTCATCTCTAGTCCAGAGCCAAGCATAGTAAAGAATGGGTACTCAAGAAAGGCTTACTCTTTGTTCTGGGGGTTGGCAAACCTTGTTTGTTATGGTGGCTGTTGTTGTTTAATTATGACACTAAGACTAATATAACTGAATAGAAAGCAAAAATTAGAAGCGGTAATGGGAGAAAGCCATTAACCTTCAGCTTTTCCTGTCCTGAGAACTGTTAGGTCATTGCCTTTACTTTTCAGTCCTTCAAATTGTTACTCGTTTGTTGCAACAGATTCCTCAGGGCATAATCAAAAGCTGGCAGATGTCTATCACTCTTTGGATAGATGAGAAAGAGCAACCAGGCCAACTGCAGAAGCACATTACTGGCAGAAGGGCTGCTGTAAGCAAAGGCAAAGAGGTGCCTGCAGGTCCCACATTGCCCAGGGGAAGATGGTGTTTTAAAGGAACCGTTCTCACCTGACCTAGTTAGAAGGCTACATATTATCATTCATTATCCAATTCCATTTTCCATTTACCATATTTACTTTTATTTCCCCAGAAACCCTTTTTTTTCTGCCTAAATAGGAGACATGAGAGAGGAAGGCAGCAACCAAGGCAGACAAATCTGACAAAATAGTATCAGGACGAGGGTGAATGGCGACATGCAACAATATTTGAGGTGTTTTGGTGTGGTTTTTAAATTATTATTATTATTTTTCTCTTGAATGTTTTTAGGTGTTTAAGTGCATATAAATGAGACGATTCTATGAAACTCGCAAAAAAATTCTGACCAAAGAGAGTCTATCAGGGCACACTGTCAAAGGTTCTAAGCCAGGGATCCCAATATCTCTCAAAATTGCCCTCAATGGAGTCAATGATAGAAAGGTCTTATAGGGAAAGAGAAAATGCAAAAATGGGGGCAATGGCTCCACACTGAATTGTTGATATTTCTATTTATTGTCTCTGTGCAGTGGAGCAGAGACCACACCAAGAGCCAAAAACCCAAATCTAGACTGGCCTCACATCTCATAGACGAGCTTAGAGTGGAACTGCTCACCTGCAGGAAAGAACACAGCAAGCAGGAACTATGCTGTGGTGTTGTCTTGCTTGGCCATCACATCCCTGCTTTTATAAGTGATTCTGTGGTCTTCTACTTTTTCTTCTCCATTCCTCAAGTAAACCCACTGAAGTAAGCATGATTTGTTTTTCCTTTCTTATCAGTTTTCAAAAGAAAGCACATCTTTAAAACTCTTGAAATGTTTACAAGGATTTCTTGTGCAATGAAGGGAAAATAGAAAATACAGACAAACAAAGATATACATGTATCTTAAAATCACTTATAATCTCACTTCTCAAAAATAACTATTAATACTATAAGTATTTGTAAGGAATTTCTGTCCTGAAGCCTTTCTTTCAAGGAAACAAGAAAAAAAACTTACGTCCTTTCCAACATGAACATACACATGGAGGCATTAATGTATATGTGCTCATCTATAAGCTGCCTTTCTCTCTTAGCAATAAGTTAGTTAATGTTTTTAAGGCTGATTGTAAAATCTCAAAATAAATTTATAAGTGTTAAATTTTAGCTTTTCTCAAAAATTTTTCAAATGATTCTGAGAGTTTCCTGGGACATCTCATATGAACTCTAAAAACAATCTTCTCTGCTATTTTCCTCTGTCTCCTTCATTGCTTTATCCTATTCCTATTAACAGCCCAAGTGTGGCTATATCTTCCTCCCCTTCCCTTTTCCAGCAACAGGATCTTTGCTGCTGGTGGTGGCATCTGATGTCTGGGAAAATGTTCCTGATGCTTAGTGCCCAAGATATAGTGGTCACCCCTTATCTGCAGAGGATACATTCCAAGACCCCCCAGTGGATGCCTGAAACCTTGGATAGGACAGAACCCAACTGCCATCCATTGGAACACATTTGTGTTCATGGCTTCCACCTACAAATTTAATGCCTTTTGCATCTTAACTAAGCACTCATCATACACTGTGATAAATTTTTGCAGTTTGAGGTACATCAGCAAAACTAGTACAAATTTCTTTTTCCTTCTTTACAATTTCCTGGATAGAAGATTTGTTCTTATTGTAGATCTTAGCAACCTCTGCATTTGATTTTGTTTCTTTCCTTAAGTTGAGAACTTTCACCTTTCCACTTAAAGGAAGCGCTTTACAGCTTCTCGTTGGCATATCTGAATTGCTAGCATCACAACTCTTGCACTTTGGGGCCATTATTAGATAAAATAAGGGTTGCTTGAACACGAGCAGTGTGATAGTACAATGGTTGATCTAATAACTGAGATGGCTACTAAGTGACTCATAGGCTGGTGGCATGTATAGCATGAAAACGCTGGAAAAAAAGATGATTCACATCCCAAGCAAGATGGAGAATAGCACACAGTTTAAAATTTATGAGTTGCTTATTTTTGGAATTTTTCCATTTATTATTTTTAGACTGTTTTGACCATGAATAATAGAAAGCACCAAAAGCTAAACTGAAATCAGTGGGGGCTAGTGTATATATATCTGCACTAAGTGCCATGTCCTACTTTTATTAATGTCATTGAAACTAACAGAGTTGTTTTTTCGCTCTTAGTGTACCTGATTTTTTGTCCTTTATTCTTTTTATTGAAGCTTCCCTTTCCCTAGAACTTACGCATTCATCTGCTCATTTGGTCAACAGATAAATGAATGAGGTATTAGGAAAAAAGTAGACAGCAAGACAGACATGGTGCCTGGCCTCTTGGAACTGATAAAATAAAAACTTCAGCTGAATTAAATTGAAAGGGATTTAATTGAGCAATGAACGATTCGCGAATTGGATGGCCTTCCCAGCCAGAGTAGGCTCAGGGACTCCAGCGCAGCCATGTGTGGAAGAAGATTTATGGACAAAAAATGGAAAGTGGCATATAGAGAACAGAATTGAGGTACAGAAATAGCTGGATTGGTTACAGCTTGGCATTTGCCTTATTTGAACACGGTTTGAACAGTTGGCTACGTTTGATTGGCCAAAGCTCAGTGATTGGCACAAGTGCAGGCTACAGTCTGTATACACCTCCACTTGTTATAGTTCATGGCATACAAAGAAACCCTTAGGTTGAACCTAAAATATGTAAGGAGACAGCGTTAGGCTGAACTTAACAGAGCCTATAGTCAAGTAGAAGAAACAACCATTAGCTTGTAAACACACCAACAAATGTGTATTTTACTAGGAAGGAAGACTGCAGATGCTATGTGGAAGAATAATAGAGAAAGCACCGTTTAAGTTGTGGACTCGAGGAGGCTGCTCTCAGGAAGTGAGTCCATGGGTGCTGGGAAAATGATAACCTGAGAATCAAGTACCGTCTTGTCTGAAAATCATTTCCACCCTGGTGCTCTAGCCCATTTTCCTAGAGGTCACCTTATGGACCCAGCCTCTCCTCTTACAATGTGCTTTTTTCCAAGATTCCTTGTCCTTCGATGAAAGAGTTCTGCAAGCCGTCCTCTCAAATCTAATTTCTCAGAATCCTAAAATAAACTCAGTTTACAAACACAGTTCAAATCAATTCATTTTTATACACCTTGATGTACAGCGATGGATAGAAATAGCTTCTCAATAAAGAAAATCTAATTATCCAGTCTAGAAGATACTTATAATCAAAGAAACTGCTTGATGAGATATCTATTAGAGTGTTGGTTTTGTTGTATTTTGTTTTGTTTGAGACAGGATCTCACTCTGTTGCCCAGGCTGGAGTGCAGTGGCACAATCACAGCTCACTGCAGCCTCTACCTCCCGGGCTCAAGCTGTCCTCCCACTTCAGTCTCCCACATAGCTCGGACCACGGGCACGTGCCACCGTACCCAGCTAATTTTTGTGTTTTTGGTAGAGACAGAGTTTCGCCATGTTGCCCAGGCTCTGTTAGAGTGCTTATTACTACTCATTGCTACTGTGTAATACAAGGATCATATGATAGCTTTTGCAACTGTAAAAGAATAATGGATTAGAAAGAAAAATAATTTTTCTTCTCAAACAGATTTCCTTTTGTCCTTTGAATAACAGAGTTTTCACATGAGGGACAGAGGAAGACAGAGAAAGATGGAGGGAGGGAGGGAGAGAAATCACAAAGCCTGCTCCGAGAGAGAGAGAGAGAGAGCACTAAATGGTTATAGCATTTTAAGTACCAAGGTTCTTACCGCTCCTCAGCTTTTTCTGGCTTAATGACCTAATATGAATGAGATAAAGTTATACTCCACTACCTTTGATTTATAGAGTTAGGCAAATGTCTCCTGCTCCATTTTTTTCAGCAATTTCATTTTTGTTTAATGACATTTCTCTCTCCTCTCCTTCTCTATACATAGACTGGGTGACAGGGGCTGATAATGGGTAATGAGTTGTTTCATAATAGAAGTTTATAATGTTAGCCACATAAAGACTTCCCCCATTCACAGGAGCCATTTATGTAAATATGTGAAGAAATTATAGGTCTGCCATGTCTTAGGAGAACAGCACCTCGAAGCCTGGCATTTTAAAACAGCTTTTAGACTCCTGAGCATAACTTCGGTGCAGAAATGAAAAGATATGCATACACAGCTCAGTGAATTGTCAGTGGCATGTCGTGAATTAGAGCATCACTCAAGAGGCTGTTTCTCTGCTCATTACTAAATCTGCAATTTTTTTTTTTTACCATGGCACTTTATGATGTTAAATCATGAAGCTACCTCCAAAAAAAATCTTATAAAACTATTTTTTCCTGTAATCTCAGCTACTGGGGAGGCTGAGACAGGAGAATCTCTTGAATCTAGGAGGCAGAGGTTGCAGTGAGCTGAGATTACGATACTGCACTCCAGCCTGAAACTATTTTTTCCCTCAAACTACTTTGGATATAATTTCCTGTTTCTCGGGAGGCACTTCTTATAGTTTAAGTTACCTAAAATGTCACCTTGTTGTATGATTGCATTGTTCTGCGTTGGTGAATTTTTCATGTGCTTTCCCAGGCTTGATCCTGCAGTTATCAGTGGAGTGAGAAGCCAAAAAAGAGGCGAGGGGCTGGGGTGCAGAAGAGGGTGATGTAAATACCTGTGCCAACCCTGAAGCAGCCCCTTCAATTCTAGATGCTGTCAGCTGGAGATGCTGTCAAAGTTTATATTCCTTCAGCTGGACAAGATGTTGAAGATACACTTGCTTCAAGAACACCCTCATATCCTTGACAGAATAGCACATTCTTTTCCCTGTTACTCTGAACGTATAAGTCCATATTTAAGGCAACAATTATGTGAACTGTCAGTCTTTCATCAACAAGAGAGATGATATTGAGACTCATTGTGATAATATTACTATTCCAGTATATGTAAAATCTTGTGAAAAAGACTACTTACTGCTCAAGCAAAATTTTGCCTTTCACAAAAAATTTCCTCTGATTGTTCAATCAGTTGGTATTGTGAAAACCTGGAACTTCTTTATGAAATGCAGTATTCTGAAATGGACTTAAAATTGACCATTTTGCAGACATAATGGCAAGTGTATTTCATCAGAAATAATAATAGCTATACCGTGTATTGATCGTTTATTCTCTGCCACACAATCATGCCATCTATGTGATCTTTCTTAATCCTTACGATAACCTGTGAGTAAGGAAGCTGTTATTATTCTTGTATCATAGATGGAAAAGCTGAGGTTAGAAAGGTGAAGTAACATGTTCAATTTCATGTGCCTAGAAAGTGGTGGAGCCAGGATGTGACCTCCTTTCTGTCTGATCACAAAGCTGATGCCCTAATCACTAACTTCAACCTCACAGAATTAACATTACATGACAGATTTTGGAAAATGGTTTGGTTGGCTCAAAAGTGAAAGTGTTGCTGAAGTAAGAATATGGTAGAATTTTCTTTCAGAAACTTTCAGAAAGTATTCATACTTGCTATAAACTGAATGCTTGTGTTTCCCCCAAATTTATATGTTGCAACTTAATCCCCAACCTAATGGCATTTGTGGGTGAGGCCTTTGGGAGTTCACGGTGGGGAGCCTCATTGAATGGCATCAGTGTCATTATAAAAGAGACTTCAAAGAGCTTCTTCACCCATTCCACCATGTGAAGACACAGCAAGAAGACAGCTGTGTCTACAAACCAGGAAGCAGGCCCTTACCAGACACCCAGTCTGCCCGTGCCTCGATCTTGAACTTTCCAGCCTCCTGAACTGTGAAAAATAAGTGTCTGTTGTTTAAGCCATCTGGTCTATGACATTTTTTATTATAGCAGCCCAAATAGACTAAGACAATACTCATTAACTTTCTGTCTGCTGTACATCCATTAGTTAGAAGATAAATATATATTTTGCTAGTTTTTTAAAAAGCCAATACTACATGATTCTCAACCTGGAAAAATAAAGTGGCTTGAGACGAGCAAGAATCCAGGTCACCTTTAAAATGCCTCAGCGCTTTTTAGCTATTTTTAAGTTAAGATATTTTTGTATGAATCCAATAATATAACCAGAATGTATTCAATAGCCATAAGCACTGAAAAATCTCACAGTGGTTCTAGGAGAAAACTTTCATTATTACTACCATTTTGTGGGCTAAAGAACAAGCATACTAAAATATTTTAGTACTGAATATAAAATAATGGCACTTAATATGTGCCATCTCTTAAGCACTTAATATGTGCCAGATACTCAACATGTGCCAGACATTCATTTTTTTCACATAGTAACTCTAAGAACTAGATACTTCCATGTTACAAATGATAAATTTGAGATAGAAAGTCACATAACTTCCCCTAGCTCATACAAAGTATCGGAGTCATGATGAAAGCCAGGCATCAAGTACAATCTCTATAGTCTACACTCCTGATCATTCTGTAACATGGCCTCTTCTTCTATATAGGCTTCTGTATTTACATATTAAACATACCATATGTTGCTATTATGTTTAAATTGTATATTACATTTATTTTCTGGAGTCACTTTCCATGGTGACTAAAATTCATAATGGTGGCTATGGCTCAAATTTCTTTTTTTTTTTCTTTTTCTTTTCTTTTCTTTCTTTTTTTTTTTTTTTCCAGACAGAGTCTCACTCTGTTGCCCAGGCTGGAGTGCAGTGGCACCATCTCAGCTCACTGCAACTTCCGCCTCATGGGTTCAAGTGATCCTTGTGCCTCAGCAACCCAGACAGCTGGGATTATAGGCATAAGCCACCATACCCGGATAATTTTTGTATTTTTAGTAGACACGGGGTTTTCCAATATTGGCCAGGTTGGTCTCAAATTCCTGACCTCAAGTGATCTGCCCACCTCAGCCTCCCAAAGTGTTGAGATTACAGATGTGAGCCACCACGCCCAGTTCAAATTTCTATAATTATCTGATTTGTTCAGTAGCATTTTTGGTTTTTATTTCTTCCAGGACAGAATCATTATGATATTATGCTTTTTCAGTTCATTCATTAATTTGTCCAGTGTGTACTGCCTGTGCTAGCTATAACACACTCTACTAGACCTTTGAGGGAGTTGCAAAGATTATTACTGCTTTCAGCAACCCACGACTTGAGGGAGAAGGCAGTGTGATGGAGTAAGGCACAGCTAGCTTGACGACAGTATAGGATAAAGTAAGACAGGAACATAGGTGAGAATTAAGCATTTAGAAGTTGAAAGATGGGATTCAGTTTGATCAGGATAGGGGTCAGGAAAGACTTGTGAAGGCGATGCCATTGAGGATGGTTCTCAGCATTCTCTCCTCTATGATGAGAGAATAAAATGCAGTGGATGAGGATGTCCTCAGGGATGAACCTTTGCTATCAGGGATGTTACATTTGGAAGGGATCTCAGAGACACTGCGCTTAATTCTCTCATCATAAAGGAAAGAATGCTGAGAACCAGAAACGTTGAGTGATTTCCCAAGGTCACACTCACCCATCTGTAACCTCTACTTCAATTTCAAATCTGAATGCTTGTTTAATGCTTTTTAAAAAACAGTTTTGACAGATTTGTCCTGATTTTAGTGCTAGTTACCTGACTCACGTCTTAAGGATACTCTCGAGGACCAAATAAAATAAAATAAGATGTAGTAATTAGGAAAAATCATTACGGAAAAGTAATGCTGACTAGTCAACTCTAATGTAGAGTCTGACAGATTTAGTGCCAAGTCAGGCTTGGAAGAGAAGAGGAAGTAGCAGATGGAGTTTTATGCTGGTAATGACAGCAGGTGGGAAACAGGTAATAGCAAACAGATGGGCCCCATAGTATATAAAGACCACCAGCATCTCATTTTCTAATGCTTTGTTCCCAAATAGTAGTAAGATTCAATTGAGTTCTTGTAAAAATCTTATTGAACACAAACTCACTATTAGGTATAATGTTAGGTATCACAGAGGGACAGTTTAAAAATAAAACTGTTACTATACTGAAGCTCAAGAAAAGTAGGAAATATGACACAAGTACAAAAAAAGAACAATATAATACAGAAGAGCACAAATAAATGCTGCAAAAGAAACACAAAGTGTAGGATGAATCTGGTCTATAAGGGTAAAGGAGTCAGAAAGCAAACAAAAATGTTCAGACAAAGAAAGGCTCAGAAGCAGGTAAATGCCAGAGAGGATTTGCTTAATTGTGAATGGCACAACACTGCTAGAGACAAGCAAACATGTGTCATGGAAGAGCAGAATAATTAGGTGGTACAGACCCCTAAACATCACTGTCTGGCTTGGAACAAGACACTCAAACCCTCTCACCTTCCATTTCTTTATTTCTAAAATGAGATAGTTTCCATAACCACTTCCAGGTTTAGGAGTTAGTAATCTCTAATATAGAATCTCCTTAAATTTCTTAGTCTAATATTTCCCAAAGTATGAGGTGTGTGATCCCAGTGAAATGGAGATTTTAAAGAGTACATATGTAATATTTATGTTAGTAATTACATAATTTTTAGTAAGGTTGTCTTGTATTTAAAGCAAGTGATAGTGATTTTCATTTTTGTAGTGTTAGAAGTTTTCTTTAAAATTTTTATTTAAGTGAAAAATGTGTATCAAGTTATAGAAAAAATTTAACTATTTCCATTGATGTGTCACATTTTCAATTCATACATGTTTTCTGTGCATACTATAACGTAGCTGTGTTTGTTTTGCTATCATCGATTCATTCATTCACTGAACAAATATTTATAGAGTACCAACCATGTGTCCTGCTCTAGGCAGCATTGACAATCTGGTAAACAAAACAAACAAAATCTTTGCCCTGTGGAACCATCATTCTTGTAAAGTGAGATTGACAGTAACAATAAACATGACAAAAAAGTAAATTATATAGGGTCTTAGTAGGTGATAAGTGCTAGAAAAAAAATAGAACAAGACAGGAGGACTGGGAGGGCTAAGAGGTATGTGATAGATGAGATGGTCAAGTAGTCTCTTTAGGGAGGAGCCATTTTATCAAAAATTTCAAAGAGATGAGGGAATGAGCCATGTGAATATTTTAGGGGAGGAATAATATTACACTTTACTTACCACTGAGTAAAACTGATGTTCCTACACCCTGGGCTCACATATGCCCATCGTTATTAGGGGAGAAACATATTAGAACAAAGCTTAAATTCATGATGACATCTCTGTGCCAGGTATATTCTAATTTGAGACACAATTTGAAATGCTAGAGGGACATCTTATGGAGAAACCCAACAAGCCAATGGATATATGGAGGCGATATCTGGAATTTGAAGTAGACTTTGGGGTCATTTTTATAGCTTTTATTTTTAAAACTGTGATATTGCCAAGAAAAAGGGATAAAACAGAACCTTAGCAACCTGTTACTTCTGTAAGGGATGGGAGGGTGGACAGAGATGGAGGAAACTAACTTGTGTTATGTGCCAGGCCCCAAGCTAGCAAGGCAGTTTGCATACACTATGCATTGATTGCACAAGAAGTAGGCAATGAATATGTAATAAACATGTTTATTTTTCAAGGAGTTTTCTGGGAGAGGTGAAAGAAGCTAGTGGTGGGCAAATCTGTGGTCTCTAATATATGTAATGGCTCCGTCTATAACGTCTATAATGGATGTAATGGCTCACGTCTATAATCCCAACATTTTAGGAGGCCGAGCCAGGAGGGTTGCTTGAGCCCAGGAATTTGCCAGCCTGGGCAATATAAGGATTCCCCCATCTCTACAAATAACAATAAGAACAAAAAAAAGAGATTCCCCCATCTCTACAAATAATAATAAGAATAAAAAAAAGTTAGCCTGGCGTGGTGGCATTCACCTGCAGGCCTTGGGAAGCTTAGGTGGGAGAATCACTTAAACTCAGGAGTTTGAGGCTGCAGGGAGCTGTGATCATGCCACTGCATTCTAGCCCAGGTGACAAAGCAAGACCCTGTCTCTAAAAAAATAGTAATAATAAAATAAAGTGAGAAAACCCTGGGTCCAAATATTCACAGTGGAGCTGACTTACTTCTCTGAGCTGACTTCTTCCTCTAGAGCACAAGGCCAGTGACAGTAACTGCATCACTGGGTTGTTACGAGATAATGTATGTCAAATCTCCTGCTACATAGTAAGACCTCAGTAAATGCTGGCTATTCATTTAAAGTAAAATAAAAAGATAATATGGTAGCTTACAATAACAAATGAACTGCTTTTTATGGCTGTGTTATTTTAAAACCATGAGATATTTGAGCATTTTTATTTTTATACTAGCAATGAAGAAAAAATTCAGTTAAACAAGAACTTCCAGAATTAAACAAGTTTTTCTTACTTTTTGCAATTATTGAAAAATTCGAATGGGATCTGTTCTATTTTATTTTTTAAATTTGGTTGGTTTTACTCTCTCTTTTTAAAAACTGAAAATCCCTTTAGATTTTGGCTGTTCTCTGTAGAAAAATACATATAAATATGCTAAAAAAATTTCCAAAATTTGGAAATAAAGCAAAATGATAACTATGACATTCCCAAGTTTTGCTTGAGCAGTGTCCAATAAGCCTGATGAAGGCTCATCTGATTCTTGAAATATAGCTTTGCCTGATTACTGTTTACTATTGATTAGAGTCCAAATTATAAAATTACTTCTTAACTTGTAGAAATTTCATTGGATGACAATGATTTTTGTCCAGATGAGATGCCAATGATTTCTCTCTAAAAGGGAGATAATTCTAAAATTTATGTTTTGATTGTCGTGTAGTACATTAACCAGTTTTGAATCTAATTTAGCAATCATATTCCCGCATTCTTTCTTATACTTTCATTGGTGACTTACATCCTTCTTTGAACTATTTTTGACATCCCGCTGGATCCTCATTAATAACTTAAGTAAATCTTTGTCATACTATGCTCACTATGAATTTGTATGAGAGTTACATTTGTAACTTATTATTATTATTATTATTTTTGAGATGGAGTCTCGCTTTGTCACCAGGCTGGAGTGCAGCGGCGCAATCTTGGCTCACTGCAACCTCTGGCTCCCTGGTTCAAGCAATTCTCCTGCCTCAGCCTCCTGAGTAGCTGGGATTATAGGTGCGTGCCACCATGCCCAACTAATTTTGGTATTTTTAGTAGAGACGGGGTTTCACCACGTTGGCCAGGATGGTCTTGATCTCCTGGCCTCATGATCTGCCCGCTTTTATTGTTGTTTGAGAGGGAGTCTCGCTATGTTGCCCATGCTGGAGTGCAGTGGCGTGATCTCAGCTCACTGCAATCTCTGCCTCCTGGGTTCAAGCGATTCTCCTGCCTCAGTCTCCTGAGTAACTGCGATTACGGGAGCATGCCACCATGCCCAGCTAATTTTTTGTATTTTTAGTAGAGACAGGGTTTTACCACATTGGGCAGGCTGGTCTTGAACTCCTGACCTCAAGTAATCCACCCGCCTCAGCCTCCCAAAGTGCAAGGATTACAGGCATGAGCCACGGCACCTGGCCATACATTTATAACTTTAAAAAAATTATACTTTAACATACAATGTATCAGGGTTTAAGCAAAACCATACACGCTTATTAGTTTATACAGTTATTAAAATATATATTTATAATATATTTTAGTATATTTAATATATAAATATATATTTATATTTTATTAACTGTATATAATATCACATATAATATGCATATATTTATATATAATGTATGTATATATTTATATATAAATATATAAGCAAATATTTATATTATATATTACATATAAATATATATTTACTTATATATAAGTAAATCTTTACACATATAAATATATATTTACATAAGTAAATATATATTTTTCAATTTTCAATTTCTTAATTTTCAATTAAGAAATATATATTTCTTAATTGTAGGGATTTGTCCTTACAGTGCTGTGGAAACTGGTGAAGAGGTCTGAGTTTGGATATAAAGCTGTAGTTTCTGGCCTGGTGCTGGCACCTGAAGTCCACAGACAGCTGGGCAAAGAAGATGGATGGGAAGCAGAGGAAGAAAAGGCAAGCTGAATGAAGGAGAAACTGGTGCCTTCCATCATGGAGCTAAATATGCATCTGGTCCAGGATTCAGGGAAATTGATGCAGCAGGAGGATCTGGCAGGAGCCCAGCTGCTGCCCCTCACCAACAAGGTGAGCTTGTGGATAAGTGACAACATGCATGAGTTCCAACAGTGCTTGGAGCCCTGCATCCATCTTCCAAGCATAAAAAAACAAGATGGCTACTGCTTCACTTCCACTTTCTACATCTTATGCAAAATGTCTCTTGAGGTCCACACTGTCCAAGAAATCTGCAGAAAAGACATATGGAAGACTTAGTTCTAAGCCAAGTTGATACAATAGACATCTATCACACACTATTTATCATAAGATTTGGTGAGGGACGGGGGGTTCACAGATGCCCTAAACCCCACTGATAGATAGCCTAGGGGTTTATGAGCCTTGGATTATTAAAAATCTCTCTTCTAGTGTTCATGATAATAGGAATGGCATCAGTGACTTAATTAAGAAAACATCACCTTCTGAATTTAGGCTGATCCGTGTCAATGAGTTTTAATAGCTGGAAAAATTTGTATTTTAGTTACCTTTCTAATTTTCTCTTCACTTGAGAGCCTGTCAATCTTCTCAGTACTCAGGAGTCAGTCTGTCAGTACTAAGGAGTCACATTCTTTACAATGCCTTTTTAAAATGTTAAGTTTTATTTCCTAATTTTTCAAGCAAATGCACATATTATTAAAAATGTATATGCCACTGACTTTAGTCATAATTAAATAAAATAAATGAGTGGTTTTTCTTTGAAATCAAATGTATCAGGTAATTTTAAGCCATGGAATTGTGTTTAAGTTATTGCCATTTATTTTGAATTTTTAAACTTATTGAGCACTGGGTCCTCCTTTATTCTTACTCTAGTTTTTCACTTTTGCCCTTATGAATCTTTTGAGTTAATAGAAAACCTTTCAGTTAGATTGTCTCTTGATCTTTTGACCAATCTTCAACTTCATAGAAAGTAGGTAGCCCCTGCCCATCTGCTTACTGACACAAGGAAAAGCCTTTCTATTGCTAGGTGCTATCTAGTGCTGGATAATAACAGCTGAGATATTGGGAGTTTTATGCAGTGCTACTTTATTGCTATGGGAACTTAGACAACTCTCTTTTCTGAAAACTGTTTTCACAAAAAAATTGCTTCATAGGATTTCACTAAACATCTTCCCATTGTCAGGTGGTTCTCAAAGTCTTACATCTTGTAATGAATGTGATTATCAAGTTTACATAAACATCGATAAAAAGAAAAGTCTTTTTCTTTTTACCCATTGTCCAATATGTACCTGAGATACTTTCTGGTATTATATCATGGAGGCGAAAAATAGCAGTTGATGGAAATATGGTATTAGTACAAAAAGTGATTTTGGATTTTTAAAACTGTATTCATTCAAAAATTATGTCCATTAAAAAATAATTCCTATAGATATTTAGTTAGAAAGTAAACAAGACTTCTTAGGTTCTGGCCTTATGATCTAAACAGAAAGTTTCATTCATGTATCTTATCTGTAAAATTACATTTGTAATTTCTTAATTTTCATAGAAAATGACCTCGTTTTAATTATTGGTCTTCTGGACTTAGGCATAGCATAGTGCTCTAAAATAGACAATACTCAAACACTTGCTTCATGAGAAAGGATGGAACAAATGAATAAATAAATTTATGATGCTCTCTAATTTCTAACATCAATTAATGTATTTATTCCTAAAGCACCTCCTCCAAACTGAAGCATAACCTCATTTCTACCCCAATGTGGCACACACTGTTGATACTGAGAGATGCAATGCAACTAGCTCCGTGTGGCAAGTCTGTAGGATCCCACAAATTACCGGGAGTACAGAAGTTCTGGTCCATTCTCAGAAGAATTCTCTAACCAAGGAAAACCAAAATCATGTTATTGCCATCACTGACAGTTCCAACTGCACCTGAGCACTGCTCTTCACTGTCTTACCCTGAAGTTTAAACCCTAGATTGAGCACCAACCTGTGCCCCCATCTTAAAATCTCATTAAATATCTAATTCATTCTTCGGCTTTCCCATATTAAAATAACTTATTACACACTCAAGCATCAGTTGCTTGTTTACCTCACACTGAAATATCCTCATGTGTTTTGCTAATCTCAAGACTTCTATACAACTCTACCTAGGAGGACCTAAACAGAATTAGCCCT
Organism: Homo sapiens; assembly: GCF_000001405.40. Lineage (NCBI taxonomy): Eukaryota > Metazoa > Chordata > Mammalia > Primates > Hominidae > Homo > Homo sapiens. The sequence continues at coordinate 75,573,269 of NC_000012.12, read as the reverse complement.
ACAAAAACTAGGAAGGAGGTGTCGTTTGCCTTGTGCACATTTCCCTCTTCCCATCTTATCTTCCACCACACTCTTCTTTCAAGCTATAAAGACACACTCTTTCTTGGCTATATGGTTATATTTTTCAAATATGTGTGTGTGTGTATGTGTGTGTTTATGGTAATGCTCCTCCTCTATACACACACACATGCACACACATGCACAGAATATATAGATATTTTTTCAAGTGTGTGTGTGTGGATGGTAATGCTCCCCCTCTATATACATACACATACACACATACACACACACACACGCACAGATGCACACTTAACTTTCAGTGGCTTCCATTCCTCTTAAGATAAAGGCCGAATCCTAGCAAGGCCTCCATGCCTCTGCATGCTCTTGTCCCAGCCTACTGTCTCTTCTCCCCATTGTCTCTGCCATCCATCCACACTGCATCTTTCAGTTTCTAGAATAAGCCATGCTCACTCCTGCCAGGAGAAGGGTCTTTTAATATACTGCTTAAAAAAAAATTTGTGTTACAATACACATAACCTACAATTCACCATTTTAACCATTTTAATTTGGACAACTCAATGGCATTTGAGTACATTCACAATGTTGTATAACTATCACCACAGTCAAGTTCCACAGTATTTCATAATCCCCAAAGAAAATCCATACCTACTAAATAGTCACTAGTCATTCCCTCCTACTCCCAGGCCTGGTAAACATTCATCTGACTTCTGTCTCTATGGATTTTCTATCTCTATCTCTATGGACATTTCATATAAATGGATTTATACAATACATGGCTTTTTGTGCCTGGCTTCTTTCACTTAACACAGTGTTTGTCATGTTCATCCATGGTGTAGCATTTATCGGTACTTCATTTCTTTTTATGACTAAATAACATTCCATTTTATGGATATTGAGCATACTGTTAATTTGCTCAGAATGAGTTTCCATCCTTCTCCTCACCTAGCTGTCTCTTGTTCATCCTTCAACAGTCAGCTCAATGATTACTTCCTCATTGGACTTTCTGAGACCCCAGCCTAGATGAAGTCATAGGCTTTTTAAGGCCCACCTTTCTCTTCTGCATAGATCTTCTCTCAGTCTGTAATTAAACACCCACTTAGGGGTTATTTGATTAATGGCTGTCTCCCCAGCTGGAATCTAAGATCCAGGAGGTAAGAAATCATGTCTATGTTAGTTCCATATTGTATTCCCAATAGCTTTTAGAGGGCCTGGTACATAAATAAACTTTTGTCAAATAAATGTTGTTGAAATTATTTCCTAGTAAGAAGTAAATAATTGGCAGCAGCTTAATGTTCTTTCATTCCCAATGGTATTTTGAGTTTGAATAGAAATAGTGCTGTCATAGAGAAATTTCATGGTGGAATTTCCCTGGCAGAGAATAAAGGCTGGATTGTTTTGGGGGAGAGACTTCTTCCTGCTCCTGAATTCCACTGCCCGATGCCTATAGCACCTGAAAGATCAGTTCTTGAGTCACCATTTAATCCGCTGTAAATATGTACTGCTTCCCTTTTATTTGAACTGAAAAACAGGCATATTTGGTTCTATTAACATTCTTATTTCTTCACTAGAAAAGTAGTGACCTGCTGTAAGTAATTATCCCTCATCCATCTTTCCTCTCCAATATTTATAACGTAAGCCTGATTGAAATTTGATGGGTTTCTTTGATGTCTGCAACTGAAGGATGCTTTTATTTGTAAATGGGATTGTAATTGTATGTTGGAATGTACCCTTCGTTAACTCAATGGGGCTGTCTTTTCCCAATCTTTTCCTGATATTCGTAATGGGTTTAAAAGTAGTCTTTCCTCTTTCATGCCCTTACGTTACCTCATACATAAACCATATCTTTTGTGCAAGTGTTTGCAGTCTACACAATGCTGTCCTGTTTTGGAGTAATTATGTCTGGAAAACTGCCAGTCATTATGTTCTTAAACTGATGGCAAATTCTTCTCTAGTATTTACAGACAGATGACAATTAAATTGAGGCCCTGATACAGTAAAAGCACAATTTAACAAATTTACTTGGTGGCAGCATTTTTATTTAAATTTTGTTTAATTACTCATGAGAAAAATTTTCTCCAGAATGATAGTTTTATGCTATAAATGAGCTGCCTGATATTTTTCTCAATTAGGCATCAGATTAAGGGACAGTTGTGCCAAGTGAATTGTATCATTTGCATGTAGAATTACTATTATTTCAGTTTTTGTTTATTATCCAGCTGATTATGTCAACCCAAAGAAAATTGGATATTTTTGTTCCAGGTATAGCTGAAGTCCTCTGATGTTTTTTTTCTCCCCAGGTGGGGTCAGTGGGGCTAGATATGGATAAAGTTAATCCTAACTTTAGGCTATTCTCTGAAGGTTGAGCTGTGAACACGTAATGGCTAAACATAAATATATTTCAAGAAACCTAAAAAAATATCAAAAGTGATCCCTGGACTCAAGTATTGCCAATAGCCTGATTAATTCTACTAATGTAGTAAATTAAAGAGAGATTATTTTTTAGCCAGAGAGGCATTGTTGGAAATGGAGCGCCAGAGGCAAACATTGGTAATTTAGATCTTGGTATTCAAGACTGACTCAGATCTTGCTATAGTCAGCTTAGTAATCAATTCACAATTGTATAGGTGGCTACCGGAGTCTCATAAGGTATGTTTTTTTCTTTAACAATACACAAAATCTCACATGTTCTGATCATAACTTGGCATCGCATGAATCTTATCTTTATGTGACTGGTAAAAGAATGTGCTAGTCAGGTTAACATGATTGCCCATTCATCTTGGGTGTTATAATTCTCATTGTATAAATTTAAAGATTTTTCTGCTTTTATATTCATCTTTGTGTTGTTTGAGAGAAAGAGAAGAAAACTGGACCAACTTTGGAATATAGACCAGTTTAAATTTTTGAGCTTGCAAGATTGAGAACAAGGACCTAAACACGGATGAATTCACCAAGAAAAAGCCAACCAGTAGGCATCTAGAGAGATGCTCCTGAGAAGGGTCAGCTGTCTCTGTTCACACAGCACTGTCTCTCTTACTGTAGGTCTTCTTTGAATTATTTATTTTATTCTTTCACTGGCTTCTGTAAGGGGATAGAGAGGCCTAATAGGAGTCATACATACACACATACAAAACTAAACAAAACAAAAAGTCTTTAGAATTCAAGGATCCTAAGTTGGAATATTCTTCCTGCGTCTGTCAAATGACATTAGACAAATAACATTTTTTCTTCAATTTCCTCATCTTTTTTTTTTTTTTTTTTTTTTTTTTTTTGAGATGGAGTCTTGCTCTGTCCCCCAGGCTGGAGTGCAGTGGCACAATCTCAGCTCACTGTAAGCTCCGCCTCCTGGGTTCAAGCGATTCTCCTGCCTCAGCCTCTTGAGTAGGTGGAATTATAGGCGCCCACCACCACGCCCAGCTAATTTTTTTTTGTATTTTTAGTAGAGATGGGGGTTTCACCATGTTGGTCAGGCTAGTCTCGAAATCCTGACCTTGTGATCTGCCCACCTAAGCCTCCCAAAGTGCTGGGATTACAGGCATGAGCCACCGCGCCTGGCCTCCTCATCTCTTTAAACTGGAAATGCTACCTATCTTTTTGTTTGTTTTGAATATCAAAACTGTTTTAAAAATGTCAGCCTAATGTGAGACTGACATGGAGTAACCCTCAATTATTCATCTGCCTGGCTTTCATTTCATTCATTCTTTATTATTATTATTATTATTTTTTGAGATGGTGTCTCTCTCTGTGGGCCAGGCTGGAGTGCAGTGGCACAATCTCAGCTTACTGCAAACTTGGCCTCCCAGGTTCAAGCGATTCTCCTGCCTCAGCCTCCTGAGCAGCTGGGATTACAGGTGCCCACCACCATGCCTGGTTAATTTGTGTATTTTTAGTAGAGACAGGGTTTCACCATGTCGGACAGGCTGGTCTCAAACTCCTGGCCTCCAGTGATCCACCTGCCTTGGCCTCCCAAAATGCTGAGATTACAGGCATGAGCCACCAAAAAAAGTTGACAGTTATATCCAGTTCTTTGTTTTGGAAAGGTATGATTATAGAATTGTATTTATAAACTCTGATTTTTTTGTTCCTAGAAAGAAACTACAAATAAGCACACATATTGGTTCCTGGATATTCGCTCCTGTCTAGACTTAGAAAATTAGGGTTTTTTTGCTGTCTGTGGCACTGCAGCCTAGACAAGTATAGAAACAGTCTCAGAGTTGGGGCATGTGCCAGGAATCTCCTGATACTGCAACACTGTGAGCATATATGAAAAACACGAAAACACAAAGACAATCACATTCCCACATTCAATTCGGGTATATGGCTTTTGAATAAGCCTGTCATCTATTTTAAATTTGGTCTTTTAATATCCTGTTTTCTACTTCTGTTCCTTGAGTAGCCAATTAACAGACCAACATCTTCCTAAGATGCCTGTCTTTCAGGCTTTGGCCAGCACACTATGGTTTTTAAACCCACTCTTAACATGTCACCCCACGCCTAGGAAAGAATAACTCATTTCCATTTACTGTAATAGGATAACCCGTGAAAAGACCTATTTAGAGCTGCATGTCAGATACTTTCATTTGCTCAAAGTGGCCTTTCATGCAGAAACATGTTTTGTGTTTTTTTTTGGAAGGTGGAGTGTTCTTCAATGTTGATGTTGGAAGACTCCAAAAGTGAGGTCCGTGGCTTTTATAATTATGCAGGATTTTAGTATAAACCAGTAGGCAGATCTTAGCTAAATCTGCCCCACAGAAAACTGTCTCCAGCCAAACGACCAATTTAAAGGTCAATGTAAATGCTAAGATTATTAAGCAATAGCAGTTGAAGAAAGACATTCAGCTGTGGTGGAAGGACTCTTTGCAGGGTGAAAAAGAAAAAAGGTTGTTTATGTTCCTCCACTTCTTCCCAGAAGTGGGTTTCTTGAGCTTCCTCCTTTTTCACACTGGGGTTTTATTGTCTCACATTGTCTAGAAAGAAAAAACTGGAATTTTTCAATGGTAACACATCCTTGAAATGTGGGGTTTTAAATTCTCTAATTGGGGCTCTTGCAAGGAAGAACACCAGATTCCCTCATTATCTTAATGGCTTCCCTCCGCTTCTGGGCATGGGCCTCATTATAGCTTGGAGTCTCTTTAGGGACTGTGCAGGTGCCTTTTTTAAGTTCAGGTGGACAGTGTGGAAGTCATGCATAGAGCACATGCCAAAAAAGAGCTCCAACTGCTCCACTGACTTCCCCACGCACACTCTTGGAGTTATTTCCACTAATAAAAGCAGAATAGAACATGTACCAAATCAAACCATCAAACCATTGATTATATCTACTGAACGTCAGAGAACATGCTATTTATTGCATACATAGCATGTATTAGCTAAGATGATGCTCCTTAGCTAATAAACAACACATTATCTTTCATCTCAATCCCACACCTGCTCAAGAGGTCTCTGGGGCTGTGCCCTCATTTCCTATTGCTGCTGTTTCCATATCTTTAGATTCAGTACCTCCCCATCTCTAAAGTGACTCCATGTGGTACTTGTGTGTGTGTTATGTGAGCATGTATGTTTTTTATACCTATCTATCTATCTATCTATCTATCTATCTATCATCTATCTATCATCTATCTATCTCTTTATATTTTAAGCACAGATTCCAAGGCAATTCTCTTATGGGTATATTCTCCTGGATCTCCCAAACTGAACTCAGTATCATTCATTCCCTCTCAAATATTCCTTTCTTCTTATGTTCCATGTCTCAGTATAGCACACTGTCATTCACTCATCATGTTTGCCTTCTTCTCTTTTCACTCTTCAAATCCCATTTCTGACCACCTTATCTGCTCCCCAGGGAATCATCACATTGACCAATTCATTTCCACTGGGACATTTATCACTGATTTATGCTATGGGGTTAACTGCTTATTTACTTTGTTTCATCTGCCTCTTTCCTCTAGAATATAAGCCCCAAGAAGGTAGGGTTCTTTTCTGTGTTTTTCCCTGCTGTGAACCTAGAACAATACCTGGAACATAGGCATTGTTACTTATAAACCCGGTAAAAGTTTATTAACTACATGAATGAATCAAAAACTGTCTCATTGATGCTATTGCCTTAATGTCTTGCAAATCACTTTTTTAAATCCCTGCTGCTGCCACCCTAGTTAGAGCCAGTATATTTCTCATATCTGTGACTACAATAGCCTCTAAGCAGCTCTTCTCTTTTTTTTTGTTGAGACCCGGGCTGGAGTGCAGTGGGACCATGTTGGCTCACTGCAACCTCCATCTCCTGGGTTCAAGCAATTCTTCTGCCTCAGCCTCCTGAGTAGCTGGGATTACAGGCGCCCACTACCATGCCCGGCTAATTTTTTTATATATATTTTTAGTATAGATGGGGTTTCACCATGTTGGCCAGGCTGGTCTCGAACTCCTGACCTCAGGTTATTCATTGGTCTCGAACTTCTGACCTCAGGTGATCCACTCACCTCGGCCTCCCAAACTGCTGGGATTACAGGCATGAGCCACCACGCAGAGCCTCCTGAAGCAGCTCTTCCTGCTTCCACTCTCACTCTTCTCTAAATCGTTATCTGCCTGGCAGTCTGAAGTCTTTCTAACTTGCAAACTGGCTCCTGTCATTGGTCTCCTTAAAACTCTTAAGTAGCTCCCCATTACGATCTGCTTTGCAAACTTTTCCACAAGCATTTCCCCAATGGCAAAGGAGAGAGCAGGCCTGGGATCTGAAGTTCCCTGTCACAAGTACAAAATATCTTAGGAGTTTTATAATTTATCTTACAAATGTATGCAGATTTTGCACTCTACTTCTTTAGTAATAAATATTTTAAATTACTCAACACTTAGCAAAAACAATGCTCCAGGAAGATATTTCTTGTTTATCCTGTGGTTTTGCAATATGGCCACCAGGATATCAAAGTCTGAGAAAGGCAAAAGCAGATCAAGATCAGATAAACTTATTTGATGCACAAAGCCCTTCAAAACCTGGTGCTTGATTTGCTTTCCCTTCTTACCTTTTGCCATTCTCTCACACCCACCTTCCCCAGGCTGGCTCATCTCAATGCCACCCTCCCCTCCAAGACTGCTTTAGGTCTCCCTTCTCTGTTCCCCCTCAGGATCCTGTGCCTTGTTGCCTGTACATGATCAGTCCTTATTGTTTATCTCTGTGTCTGTAGCACTAACCTTGAGGAAAGGAGATGCGTTGTGTTCATTGTTACCCAAACCTGGCCCAGTGCCTGGTAGATCTCAAGCACACAGTAAACGTCTATGGAATGAATTAGTGAATGAGTAAATGGATTACCAATTATTCCAAGTAAGTGCTCATTTGAAGCTTTAAGGACCCTGATATCTGAGATTAAGCGATATTCTATTTCAGTAGCCTTCCCCCATCTGTTACTCCATCCTTCCCAATACATACATGTAAGAAGAGAAATTTATTTTGGGTTGATTTGATTGCCCAAGAACTGAAAACTGCGATCATGTCTAGGACCAAATCATGGATTCAAATTTACTAAGAGACATGTAAAGTTCAAAGAATGATCCTTTTCCCTGGAAACTGGAAGGGATTTTTGAAAGCACAAGGACTCCCTAGCTTGAAGCAGCAATTAAAGAATGGATCTTTGGTAACATCATCCTTTCTGATCTAGACAGCAATCAAATGTAATCTGCAAAGGTTTCAGAGGAAAGTTGAGCTCATGTTTAAGAAGATACTCAACCTCATCGTTCCATTTGTCATAGAGAATCGTAACTCATCTGTCCACCTATCTTTTCTGTTTCTGACATTTACTATAAAATGTTGTCACTGGGACTGTAACGTCTAATCAGCCAGGCTATTTGAATGATCTGATGAGCTAGTTTTAGGGTTCAATGTGTCATTAAAAAAAAAAAAAAACTTTTCTAGTGGAGTACAACTAGTGGAGCCGCCATAACTTCAAAGTCTCTTAGAATGGTTTTGGCTGAAGTCAAACATCCTCTTCATTTGATACAATTTTTGGTTATGCGTGACATATGCTCAACAGGAAAATTCTGCAGATGGAATCTTTCTACCGAGGGAAGTAGTTTGCTCTTATTAAAAAGTCTGAATGGGGACTAGAGATAGAATGAAGAGGAAAAGGAAGCCACAGAAAAAGCTCTGGCTGCAAGGCCATCCCTAGGCACCTGACAACATAGAGCAGTTGGCAGAGGATTGAAGTTAAGCAGCTGAGTCCCGTCCTCTGAGAGCTTGCAGTCCCCAACCGACTCAAATGCATGATTAAACATCACTTGGCCAACTATGCAAGTATTGAACCACAACCAAAGTAGGTTTTTAAAAATAGATTCAAATTAAAATGCAAGCCAATAAAGTAAGAGTAAATCACTCCTTCCCACTGCAGTATGGAATATAATCGAGGTATTTTCAACTGGTTAACAATGGATCCTTCCTGAAATATTCGACCCTTCACTGGCTTAGAAGGTATGCTTTTTTATTTATCAGATATGATTTGGGGGATGTTTAACACATGGGACTCATGGTTTAGAGTGTTTGCTAATTTTGTTACAGTGTTTCCAGTCAGGACAGCCTTAAAGGAAGCATTGCATATTTTATTAATTAATTAGTCATAATGAATTCTTTATTTCTGGTGTTGGCAAAGGCTAAAGCAGCCTGTTTGGCTATTGTTACACAGCCTGGTTTGCAGGCATTTCCTCCTGAGATTGCCAAGGGCAGCTGCCATGGGGTCACAGCAATTCCTTCAGCCAGTACTGCCCCTTTCCCAGAAACACACGTCTCTCCTTTCAACCCACAAATGAGGATGCAGCAGAGTGGGCCTGGGCACGGGCTTCACCCCAAACACAGCCAGAACACCTTTGTTTTTAATATGACTTTTTCAGATGAGTTTTTTTTTTTTTTAAGTGTTCTATAGCTGAAAAGGTTTTGGAAAACTACTCAATAAATAGAAGATAGGTAGATAGATGATTGATAGGTAATATAAACAGAATATTATATTCTACAAAAGCTGCTGCTTCCCCATAAGGCTTTGTGAATTTAAACTCCTCCTTCATCAACACCAAATATTAAATATATTACTTTGTACTTGAGGAAAAGTGGCGCAGTGGCTCACACCTGTAATCCCAGCGCTTTGGGAGGCGGAGGTGGGCAGATCACTTGAGGTCAGGAGTTTGACACCAGCCTGGCCAACATGTTGAAACACTGTCTCTACTAAAAACACAAATGAGCTGGGCGTGGTGGCAGATGCTTGTAATCACAGCTACTCGGGAGGCTGAGGCACGAGAATTGCTTGAACCTGGGAGGTGGAAGTTGCAGTGAGCAGAGATCACACCACTGCACCGCTCCAGCCTAGGCGACAGAGCAAGACTCCATTTCAAAAAAAAAGAAAAAAGAAAAAAATTACTTCCTACTAAAATGAAAAAGAATAATGGCTCCCAAATACCTAGTGTCTATCTGTTCCTCTAAATTAGGGGTTGTGTTTAAATTTACTAAATTTATATGTATATTTCAGATAAATTAGGCTGAAAATCTTTGTTCCTATCAATACTGTACAAGTGACTTTCACTAATTTATTTTGTGAAGGAAATTAAAACTTGTGACCATGACATGTAAATTCATTGAAATTAAATGCAAATAAATCCAGTCTTGTTATGGTCTTCTGTTTCAAGACTGAGGTTATTGACTGACACATAACGTTGAGAATCCATTTCCCAAACACTTTGATTGACAGGCAAGACAACACAACAGCAGAGACCTGGCTGTCTGTTTAAAAGCCGTGCTCCAAATACAGGCTATGTTGATAGAATTGACTGCTCCATTTTTCTGCTTTCTGAAGAGAAGGTAATCCTCTACCTTCTATTTGCAGGATATTAATTTTAAGTACCTGTGAAATGAAGTTCTTAAAACCTAAGATTCCCCAAAACTCCAGTTATCAACAAGGTTATATAGGAATCAAAGCGAGGCGTTTGGAGTAGATGCCGAGATCACCTCTCCCTCACACCTCTGCTGACCCCAGCTACCTGCAATCCTGCCAGGACCATTCTGGAGGTGAGGTGATCCTTTTTATTTGTAAAAGGTCTAGTAAAATATACAACAGTTTATTCTTTTAATTTTAAATGGCAATTTACATACATATATATATACTTGTATACTTCATAATCGACTTTCTTTTAAAATATGTGATTTCTTTCTAGGAAATGTTTCAATTTAAAAAATTAAATCATTTATGAATATGAATTTAATATTCATTTCCTTCAACTTCTTTCATCTGAATTTCTTTCTTCCCATTATTCCTTTTTCTTCTTAGCTAAACCATCAAATGACTTTCCTGCTATTTTACATTTTGCTGATAAGCAGTTCCTGTAATTAATAACCTTATCTTTCTATGTATGAAAAAAACAAATTTAATGCATTTTAATAAGGAGGTTGAAAGGACAAGGAGACATTTTATTGCTATGTTGATTTTGATAAGACTAGAAATAACCTGGATGGCTGGTGATGGCATATTGATGTTGGTTGCATTTGTGCACACATTTTTGGTTCCTCTTGCTGTTTGTACTTCAGTATTTCTTATAAATATATTTCTGAATGGGTATGCAATGTAGATTTCTTTAATAAGCAAATCTCATTGAATAATGTGATGGTTTTAGGCCACTTTATCATTATATATGTCTGATTCTAATCTCGTGTTTACAGTTATTAGCTGACCAACCAACAGGGCTGAGAATCAGAAGATTTGGTTTTAAGACTAGCTCTTCCAAAAAATTGCTCTTAGCCCAAGGAAAACATCCCAATTGCTATTTCCTTATTTATATATGGAGGTGGATCACCAGGAGACTACCTAAAACAGCTCTAAAATCTAAACCAGATCTAGTATTCTACAACTCCAGCTAATTCATTTTAAAAAAAATGCTATGTTAAGGTTTTAAAGTTGAAGATCCTTTGGAATGTAAATAATCAGGTCTCCATCCGGGGCCAAAATTTTGTACATCCCAAATGAAGGCTGAATAAAGCCTGTTCTTTTGAAATTAGTGACTTTTATGAGCTCATGAAGGATCCACAACAGAAAGAGCTCTGTGATGGGCATCAGGGTCGTTCCCACCCTTATTTCCTTTCCACTCACACACTAATCCCGTGATGTGGTTACATCTGTAATTTCATTCTGCAAAGAGGAAACTGTGTTGTACAGAGTAGTTAGTTGTCTTGGGCAGGGCTGTACAGGGTCACATAGCTACAGAGGGCTGAACAAAATTCTCGATATTCCAGACTGTGGTGATTTTTGTTAGAAATCTTGGGGTCACGGCACTTTGGGAGGCCGAGGTGGGTGAATCACGAGGTCAGGAGTTTGAGACCAGTCTGGCCAACATAATGAAACCCCGTCTCTACTAAAAATACAAAAAAAATTAGCCTGGCATGGTGGCGGGCGCCTGTAGTCCCAGAGAATGGAGTGAACCTGGGAGGCGGAGTTTGCAGTGAGCTGAGATAGCGCCACTGCATTCCAGCCTGGACAACAGAGCAAGACTCAAAGAAAAGAAAGAGAGAGAGGGAGCGACGGAGAGAGAGAGGGAGGGAAGGAAGGAAGGAAGGAAGGAAAGAAAGAGAGAAATCTTGGGGTCACTGTCCCCAGGACTGTGTCCTCAAGTCAGGGGTAGAAAATGAATAGGAGTGAATACCTAGTACTGCTCAGATAGGGCTGTTCTCACGCTAGGAGAGGGGATGGTTGATTGGGTATCGGGGCATCTTCTCCACTAGACGGTAAGCTTTTCTATTACCGAGTGTATCCATATATCCTTCAGGGCAGGGAGAAGATTTAAAATTGGTGTAATCTGCTGTAGTACCCAGGAGTGTGCTGGGCTCCCCAGTATTTTTCAATTCTGTGACACTGTAGGCAATCAATATAAACAGAAGATGAGGGTAACAGTGAAGTAGAAAAGGGTCAGATGTTGAGAATGGGAAAGTAGAGGTTACTACACCCACCTCAGTTCAGTAAAACAGAGCCCCTTCCACTGGCTGATTGGTGAATCACCTGGGCTGGCTCCAGGAACAATGAGAAGTCTTGGATTTGGTGCCCTTCAATGAAATCTTTCATTAGTCTCTCATATTCCTCCTCTTTCTTACTCCCACCAGCCCCTTTTGAAAAGTATGAATGCTGAGTTAATCCCTCAGGGTCCCAATGGTCCTTGTTCAAGCAAACGTCAAGGCGAGGGACTGTCTTTAATTATGGCTTAAGGAAACAATGCCTCCCTTTTGACAGTCTATGTAGTTAGTGATACTCTTGCTTGAAGATTCATGCAGGTAAAACCAAAAGGGGTTTCTATAGTATTGAAATCCATCTTCAAACACCACTAACCACTCCCTCTCCAACACCCATCTCCTGCTTCCAAGGGCAAAACTTAACCATCAAATAACATTACATATATGTTTTGGGCCTTGTATTTTGTACCCTACAGCATGTATGACTATTATACTGATGAGAGAAAACAAGATGTTTACGTAAATAAGTTTTTCATCACTGAATTCTAATGATAATCAACCCAAAACATCAGATTATTTTTCTGAGCATTTAGTCACAGCTTCAACAAAAATTCTTTCTTTAAGAGCTTATTGTGAAAGGATTTCATGTGCATTTATAAAGATGTCTTCTTTCATTCATTCTTTGGCAATTCTAATTAGTAAATTTTACTGGCATTTCTCTTTCTCTGTGCCCAGGAAGTTAATACAGCATCATCATTGATTACTGCCGCATGTTAGAGCAAACATATTTATTTCTCTTTTTTTCTCCCAAAGAAATAAAATCTTTATGTGCTCTGCACGTGGGTTAGGGAAGCTAATAATGGTCTGATTGTTCCAGTCTTGGTGCTGCCTAACCTTTGAGGTAAGGACTGTTACTCTTTCAAGCACTGTCCTCTAGTGTGGAAAATAAATATTAGCACTTTTACAACAAGCATTGCTGCTCAAGAACTGCTGCTTGATAAGTGTGTGCCTTCCACTAACCCACTCAGTGCTTTTCCTGGGAAGGTATTGACACCTTTAACCACATAAGTTAAAGTAATTCTTGGTGAGAAAATTACTGGCAACACATGCACCTTTACCTAACAGTGTTAGGTCATCAGAAACCACTGAATAGATGAAAGAAATGGGCTTGTAGTATAGCATAGATCCATGAGCTTGTGATAAAATGCAAAAAAAGAAGAAAAAAGGCACAGTTCATCTATTTTTAAAAATTAGTATTTCAAAAAGAGTGCTGGCTCAGCACGGTAGCTCACGCCTGTAATCCCAGAACTTTGGGAGGCCAAGGTGGGCGGATCACCTGAGGTCAGGAGTTGGAGACCAGCCTGTCCAACATGGTGAAACCCTGTCTCTACTAAAAATACAAAAAAATTAGCCTGGTGTGGTGGCAGGCACCTGTAATCCCAGCTACTTGGGAGGCTGAGGCAGGATAATTGCTTGAACCCGGGAGGCAGAGGTTGCAGTGAGCTGAGATCATGCCACTGCACTCCAGCCTGGGCCACAGAGCAAGACTCTTGTTTAAAAAAAAAAAAAAAAGCTATCATTTTTGACAAACTGGCCATTCCGAAATTAATTTCTGTGTGAAGCACACATATACATTTCTTTGAATCCTTGTATAACTCAACTCTGACTGGCTGTTTAATGGAATAGTTCTGACTATTCACATTTTCCAGGTTATTATCTCTTAGTTTCATTTAGTATAATGCCTGGCTTTGAAATCATAGGTAAATATTCAACAATGCCTATCAGTTAAGATTTTAGGGCACTAGATTCAGATAGACCTGGGTTAAGCATTCATTTGTTAGTTGGCCTTTCTAAACTTCAATTTCCTTTACAGTAAAATGGAGATCATAATAGTGCTTTCTTTCCTTAAAGAATTTAATTATGAACCTATGAGGCTTGAAAAATATTTAACATAGTATCTGGACCTTCACAAACACTAAATAAACATCAGAAATTCTTTTATATATTTTTGTATTTTTTTTTGACACGGCCTCTAGAAAACTTTCTATCCACCAACCAAGCCCCAAATGACATTCTTCTAATAAAACATACGGTAGACTATTTAAATTCATTACAGAGTTCACTTGTATTAGATTTAAATTCATTACAGAGTTCAGTTGTATTAGTTCCTTTTACTACATTTGAAAAAGCCTTTTCTCAGTGTGCACATTCAGCTGGACGCATGCTTCCTAGCTTCCGTTGAATTTTTGTGTTTGACACCTTCTTAGGGGACAGTTTCATATCAGGTGTCATTTCACATTAAGAAGCCAAATTTTGTGGATGCTTATATACACTCGAGAGTATGAACACAGTCAAGCTGGCTGTTATTGTTGTCAGTTCCCAAAATAGTGATCCGACATCCATGCCCAAAGGAGCATAAACCACAGACTTGTAAAAGGGGTACTCCTGGGAAGCTAATGTTGGGGGATAATCTCCAAAACACTCATACCTTTCATTGCTTCATAGATTATATCTAATGTCCTTCAAGGTTATAAAAATAGTTTACAGAGCATCTCTACCATAAACTGCTCTGTCCCTCCATAAAACAGGCCAGTTGCGTAGCTGGAAATGTTTCTGCAAGACAACAATGGCTGATAGGAGATTGAGCATAACCAAGCGCTTGATACAAACCATCTGCTTTTCTCTGAATGGTGTCCTTGAGTCTTCATTCTTGCTCAGTGTCCTGTGAAAGGAGCTGAAGCTGCTGCCACCTGATCCCAGTGTTTCATTACTGCCTGTCCCTGACCTGTGCGTTGACTTTTCATTGCCCTTTCCCTTAAAAACAAAGCTCAGGTCTCCCTTGGGCTAGAGAAGGGTGATGGTTGAGGTTAGAATGGGGGTCAAAAATCAATAGAGGAATCCAACTACTTCTTTGCTGAAGCAAACCAAGCACAAATTCTCCGAAGTTAGGTAAACAGACCTGTGTGCAAGGTGGGGAAAACTGAGTGGAAAGCAAAAGGAAGGAGAAAAATGAGGCAAATAACCTCCAAACATGTTTCTCATAGCTAACATCCTGGCACAATTTAGAGAAATGTCAAAGTTTACTATTGCACTTATTAGAGCTAGTGAGCTCCCAAGGTAAATGGAGAACTAAAAGGCCTTCATAATGCGTATTAATTCTTATAAAAAAATCTAAGGACTTCATGTCTTCTGACCAGCATGCAGCACATTCATGGAAACTGAATTCTTACTACCACATGTGTTTTTATTTTTAAAAAACAAAGTGAGAACAGGTTAATACTTCAAGCTTTCCTCAAGCAAATTGTTGGACTAGTTCAGATGGTTCTCGAAAGAGTAATTGCTCTTCCTTGGACATTATAGGCAGGACTATTCTAGAAGAAAAATCCACTTTGAATCACATAACTAGTATTGTTTTCTATAAAGCAAAAGTCGTTATGAAGATAGGCAAAGGACTAGTTTTAAAGGATCATCATGGACCTTTTATTAGAAATCTCTAATAAGGAGGAATAATAGTGATTCTGACAATATTTTTTTCAGAAGGTGACAAATGAATTGTTGACACGATAATGAACTTCATTCTTAGTTATTTAAATTAACATTAACATATTTTTCTTTACATTGACAGCTTATAATTTAGTTGTGCACACAACAAGTATTTTCTCAAAGACCTATTACGTGCTGAAAATAAAGCAAGATATTTTTGTTAGAGTGGATCAACAAGAGGAAGGATCCTTCTTTAAAAAATATCTCTTGAAGATAGATGAAGAAATAATGCATCATGATGAATTATTTAAGTATAGAATTCACTCAAATGTCATCTGTTGCTTCTGATCTAGTGAGAGTTGTTGGATGCGAAAGATAGTAAAATACCTGCGTATACATACATAAAGCCCAAAGTTCAACAAGTAACACTTCTCTGCCTCATGAACCTCTGTCATCTCTCTGATGAAGAATACAGAGAGAAGGCAATAAACTGCAAATGTTATGACTACATTTCCAAAGCCTCCTTACCAGATCACATCCTGTCGGAGAGATAGCATGAGGGATTTGTGCACACGGAGTCATGCAGCAGGTGAACCCAGGTCAAATGTAACATCACTATAGCTGTGATTTCAGATCCTTTGCAGGTATCCCCTTAAATTGACTTTTATGATATTATAATAAAACGGGAATAGGATTTCACCAGATTTAGAAGCTCTTATAGTTATTGACTTCTTCTGAGGATGCCTGAAGCTTCTTCTTATGGTCAGAGGCTGCATGAAACTTTTGTTGCTGTTAGGTTTCAGAAAGCCATTTAAGGTATACAGCTAAAATACACCTTGCAGAAGCGAAGCTAGGATACACAATTCAAGAGGCAGCTCCTCATTTATACTATTAACTCAGCCAGCAAATATTTATTGAATGCCTACTATGTGCCAGTTACTACTCTAAGTTGTGGAGATATTACAGTGAATAAAAACAAAACAAAACAAGTATCTTTGCCCTTATAGACTCATGTTACACTGTTGTTGTTTAAATAAAATAATCCCCTCCCCCAAAACACACACATCCTTTTAGGTAATTTCCACACTGTATTGCCAAACTGTATGTGCCTTAGGTAGGGATATATTTGGCTACAAGTAAGAAAAAAATTTGACCAATCGTGGTTTAAACAAATAGAGCTCTCCCTTTTCACTTGGCATAAAGTCTGTATGTAGAGAGTCAGGAGGCTTATACAGCAGCTCAACTGTGTCATGGGGGATTTAGTTTTTTTCTGTCTTAATACTTTGCAGTGCATAGCATGATGGTTGTTTGTCATGGTTATAGGATGGTTGCTACAACTCCTGGCACTATGTCTGTACTCACAGCAGGGAGAAAGGGAAATGAGTGTCTAGTCTTTATTTAAAGAGGAAAATAAAATTTTCACAAAACAATTTCTAACGTATTTCAAATTATGTGTCATTGACAAGACTGTACCACATGACTACCCACATCTGCAAGCGAGGCTAAGAAAGTGAGTACATAGTATTTATAGCCTCGATAGTGAAGGTAATCAAGCAAAGAACAGGGTTGGGAATGGGTGTTAAGTTAGCTAATCTAGACTGTAGTTTATATTGATTACAAAAACAAAACAAAGCAAAATAGAAAATCCAGTGTTATTTAAACATAAGACTGGTTCATTTTTACATCTGTTAATTTTCTTAATGTGTGACTGAATGCATGAATGCCTTGTCAAAGTACACAATGTCCTGTAAAAGCCTGAATAATTGAATAAATGAATGAATGGTCTAATGCAACTGGCACCGGCAAAAGATTGTCTGAAACTCTACATGGACAATTGTTTTGGCTATTTCAACTACTTCGATTGCTTATTTCAGTAAAAATTATCAACAAGCCTGACTATAATCTTAATTATTATCAAAGTTAGCATGCTTTAAAAAGTTCCATTCAATAATCATTTATTAAACAATGACTATAAGGTAAATACTAATCCTGAGAGTTGCATAGAAAAATAAGACAATATTTAGGCTGGGTGCGGTGGCTCACGCCTGTAATCCCAGGACTTTGGGAGGCCGAGGCGGGTGGATCACGAGGTCAGGAGTTCGAGACCAGCCTGACCAACATAGTGAAACCCCGTCTCTACTAAAAATACAAAAATTAGCCGGTGAGGTGTCACGCGCCTGTAATCCCAGCTACTCAGTAGGCTGAGGCAGGAGAATTACTTGAACCCGGGAGGCAGAGGTTGCAGTGAACCAAGATCACACCACTGCACTCCAGCCTGGGTGACAGAGTGAGCCTCCATCTCAAAAAAAAAAAAAAAAAAGAAAGAAAAATAAGACAATATTCCTATGTCAAAAGGTAAATGCTCAAGAAGAAACAGATAAGCAGATCTGCACACAGTGGGACACCTAACTCTGCCTGGGAGAATCAGAAACGTTTTCATAAAGAGTTGTGTATGTGCTTTTCTGTTGTGTGTGAAGAAGGGGATGAAACAGAAAAGGAAGACAAGGAAAGAGATAGATATAGGCTTTTTCAGGCAAAGGGAATAGCATGTGAATGTCATAAAGGCATGTGAGTACACATTAAGTAAGAGAAACACTTTGGTATAGCTGTGTGGCATGATACAATGTTAACGAATGTCGGAATCATGCATACCTGAGTTTGAATCCCAGTTTAGGTTCTTTTTTGTTGTGAGACCTAGTAAGCTCCTGAATGTCTCGGTTTCCTCATCTCTAAAATGGGGATAAAATATCCATTTACTTGCATTATAGGGAATTTGGAGGATAAAATGCCATGATACATGCACATGAGCTATGATGCCTGACACAAAGATAATATCAATGTCTGTATCTGTTGTTGTTATCATTATCATCATAATTACCAAAACAATATTGTGTTTTGAGAGTAACGGGAGACAAAGAAGGAAAGGTCAGTAAGTGTAGGTCATGAAGAATGCAAGGCAAGGTGTTACTAAGGTATTACAAAATACAGCCACAAATTTCTCACAACCCTGTAGACATCCTCTTTGCAATGTAATGTTGCTGTTCCTTCCTTCAGGAGGTAAAATTTATTTCTCCAACATCTTGAATCTGGGCTGGTCTCATGATCTGTTTTGATGAATAAAATGTGGCAGAGGTGACATTGTGCAATTTATGAGCTGAAGCCTCAAGAGGCATTTCCAGCTTTCAGTTTTACTATCTTAAAATCCAGCTCCCTTATGAGAAGATCCCAGCCAGCTCGCTGGAGAGCCCATGTGGAGGGAAACTGAGGCACACTAGTTGAAAGCCCTAGTCAACTGCCATCTGGGACCAGCTAGTCGCTAGCTGAACTGTCACCTGACCACAAAATACATAAGTGAGCCCAGCAATACCCTAGGGAGCAGGGACAAAGTATCCCAGCTGATCTCTTCTTCAACTGCCAAACCCAGAATTGTGAGCAAATACATAGTGACTGTTTTAAGCTACTGAGTTTTGGGTGTTTTTTTATATGCCAGTAAATAACCGAAAGAGAAGCATAAGAAGTTTTACTTTACCCAGGAGATAAGAAATAATCTTTGAAAGATTTTTAACAAGGTAATGACCTCAACAGATTTTTATTTTAGGAATTTCATCCCAATGCCAGCATAGAGGTTCACTGAATAATGTTACTGAAAACAAGTAAAGAAGATAGAAGATATTAGGAGTAATAGTTCAGTAAAACTTGATGAAGATCTGGGCGATGATAGAAGAGCAAGAAAAAAGCTACTTGCCTGAATGAGGAACCTCAGAAATGCCCTGCATGCTTCATTGAATGATCTGCAGAAAGATTCCTAAAATTCTTCATACTTTTTGAACAAGGAGCATGCAGTTTTACTTTGCACAGGGCCCTGAAAATTATGTAGCTGTTTCCAAGGAAGGAATTCACAGAAACTGAGCTTCAGGCCTCACATATTAGGAGGTAAAAAGGATCTGACTCAGTATGTTCTTGGTTGTGGCAGTTTAGCCACCAAGACTCTCAGGTTTGTGAATGTTTGGATCTCTCAGTGGCAGTCAAGCTTTGATTACTCTGATGCTAAAATCAGTGGCAGTTCCACACAGCAGAAACACCAAGAATAAGAAAAGCATTTCCAATCTTCTCTTTCCTAAGAGCTACCTGAGTGGCATTGAATGAGTCAACCTTCTCCAGCTTCCTCATTCATGAAATGCAGTGCTAATCTTGTCCCTACACAGCCACAGGATTGTGACAATTAAGCGGACATGTGAATGAAGCACTTTAAATTCCCCACAAAGGAATGCATTCAGCTAAACAGAGGGACTAAAAATAATTCTATTAACAACCATAATCCTCAGGTGGTGTCCTCAGCTCAGGTCCTTCTGAGGTGGCTATGGCTGCATGCTGTTTAGAATTTCTGAATCAAAATGCCTGACACTTTTCTGAGAGATAAAGAGAAGACGATAGATAGATAATCATTTGATTGGGCTGGCTGTGTGTTTATATGTTGTAAACTCCTTTTCCTTTTTATTTATTTACACTGTCTCATAATTTAAATTTTCTGCATATATTCAATCATCAAACATTTGTTGAACATATTATTATGTACTGGGCACCATGCTATGGGCTAGAAAAGAGGAACCAGAAGGGGCCCCTGCCCTCAAGGAACTCATAGTGTATAAATTGGAGATTGATACAAATAAACAACTAGAAAGTAATGTGGCAATGTTAAAAAAAAGTCATAAGCCAAGTGTTGGTGGAACACAGAAAGAAACCATTTATAGTCTGGAGGGACAGAGAGAATAAAGGCTTCTCTGAAGAGGTAACATTGAGTTTTTAGAATTTCATTTTGGCATGTTATGAAAAAACAGAATCAATATGGAATGAATTTCTGAGTTTGAAAAATATGTCCAAAATGCGAAAATAACCTTACATTGATAACGCCATACACATAGGGGCTTTTTTTTTTTTCCACCATGCTTCTGAGTTCATTGTGTATTTCTTCATGATTTGATACTGACTTACTGTAATACTGATTTGGCAATTGAACCAATGTCAATGAATATTTATAGTCCCTAAACCTTCTGAGCCTGTTTCTTTTGAAAATAAGAGATTTAGAAATAACACACAAGGTTGTTTTAAGATACAAATTCGAACAGACTTTTAAATGAATATATCAGAACTTACACTTGTGAAAATGTCAGAAATTTGAATATGGCTTTTCTGGGAGACTATATTCACATGCCAACGGTGTTACCATTGTTCAAAGCATTTTTTGCAACCACACTTTAGAACTGACTTAATGATTTGAGGATTTGATAGATTAGGAGAACAACCCAAGGAACGGGGAAAATTCCTCTCTGGGATAAGAAATCCCCTTGGAGACAGAAAAATCAGAGTTTGCATCAGAGTGTATAGACTCGTTCTCTTTCTCTTTCTTTCTCTCTCTCTCCCTCAGGTTCTTTATAAGCCAGGCTTGGTTGAACCTAACCAGCCTAGTCTAAAGAATTGCAAGTAGATACAAATGGTAAGGTTATGTGACATTGTAACCATGAAGCATAATATAAATTATCTTCCTTTGAGTATAAACTTGATTTTTGGATCTGAGCCAAAAGGCATACAAAGTATTGTCAGGTAAATAGGGTGGATGCTATTTTGGGTCATAAGTGAGCATTGATTTTTTTCCTCAGTTTGTATATAGATTCCAAAGGTAACTCAACAGGATGACTTTTAAGAAGTGAAATGACTTCCTTGTTAGTCTGAAGACATGGTATCTCAATGGGGCGTGGTGGTTCATGCCTGTAATCCCAACACTTTGGGAGGCCGAAGCAAGAGGATTACTTGAGCCCAGCAGTTTGAGACCAGCCTGGACAACATAGGGAGACCTTATTTCTACCCAAAATAAAAATTACCCAGGCACGGTGGTGTGAGACTGTAGTTTTAGCTACTTGGGAGGCTCAGGTGGGAAGATTACCTGATTTCAGGATGTCAAGGCTACAGTGAGCCATGATTGCACCACTGCACTCCAGCCTGGGCAACAGAGTGAGATCTTGTTTAAAAAAAAAAAAAAAAAATTGAAGACATGGTATCCCAAGATGACTACTTTTGAAACATTACCAGTTTAAAAACAATTGTAGTACCAATACTAGAGTCATGATTCATAAGCTGTGTTTTGTATATGATTTTGAAAAATTATCAGTGATAGAGATTAGTATCATAAGTCATGTTTACAAAGGAGTGAGCTACTCTAAAATGCTCAATGATACATTTGTATGGACTTTACCATTTAATAAGTGCTCTGTAGAAATCATCTCATTTGAGCCTAATCACAACACTGTGAGGTATGTTTTAGTTTTATTCTCAGTTTACAGTTGAGGAAATTGAGGATTATCTGAAAAATGACACTTGGCCAGTTGTTAAACTTTGTGAGCCTTAAATTAGCCACAAGGCAGTGTTTCAGCCCCACAAAGCCTGAATCTGAAGTCCTTCCATGCTTACACACATATTTAGACTACCAGATATCTTCATTTTACTGATGAATTTATTAAAGCTATGTCAAATTCATCTGGATGTCTGGGACTGTCCAAACAGCTGTGTCTTCTCACCTACTCAGGATGCCAGTGATCTGGGTTTATGACATGTTTAAATTGATTTCTTTGTGTCTGTGTCTTGGAAAGGGGCTGTTTCCCACCCTAAGGTTTCATCTGGTGGTCACGTGGTATAATGAGTAATGGACTCTTTTCCCCTTTTTAAAGGTCTGTGGCATGGCTAGAAACAGAGATTTGACTTGCTCATTCCCAGCCTCTTCCTTCAATTGTGCTTAAGCCCTGGCCTTGAAATGAGGCACCTGTTATTCTCACATAACATGATAAATAGTCAGTAAGGCAGGGTTCCTAATGGACTCCTGGGCCCCCACCAGAATCCCTCTCTATGGTTTGCTAGCCACACCTATAAACTCTCTTGTCTTTTCTATCCTCCTTCTCTTCCTCCTTTTGTCACACACTCTAAGTGTCCACAGATGTCAAGTGTAGAAAAAGACACGTGGTGTTAATGCTTTAGTGCTGGCACAAGGGTACTTCCTGGAGAAGATATGGCCCCTCACAGAGTTGCTTCGCAGGCTGCCCATCCGTATTTTTCACTGCCTAGTGCTGATTCTTGATTCAAATGGCTTGACAACTTTTGAGCTGGCATGATGCCACCCCAGATATCAGTCAACGGGCCATCTAGCCGTATCAAGTGCGACTGTTAAGGGCAGGAATCCTAGCCAGGAATTTCTAAGCTGCTGTCTGTGAAGAGGTTCTATGCATTTTGGCTGGGGAAAACTTCCAAAAATAAAAACTAGATACGGAGGCCATTTGTTTGGACTTTGTAGAAGAGTTATTAGTCATTGGAGAGAGGGAAAAGACAGCAGAGGAGACAGCATGAAATTAAATCTAATTAATCATTCTGACAAGCAGAGGGAGAACTGAGCCCATTCTTCCCAGAACAATTGTTGGAAACCTAGGAAATGAAAAAAAAAAAAAGCATTTAATCTTACTAAATTGTGTTTATTTCTTCAGAAATTGGAAAGTGCAGATGAAAATAAGTACATGAAAGTGAACGATGTAGTCATCTGAGGAGTATGTACATGCTTTCTTAGAATTTAGATGGAAGAGGGTCAAAGTGAAGATGCTTGTTTCAATCTTTGTAATTTACTTATTCCACATGATGTTTGCTAATTTAGACCTTCTTGTTGGAGGAGCAAATCCACTGCTCTTTTAAGTCAGGGCTGTGAGTGACTTTGAGGGTATGTGAAGTCTCTCGTCAGGGCATGAAGGGAGTTGATATATACCTTTGTTGAGAGCATGGGCTCTTGAGTCAAATAAAACTGGAATTATTCCTTGCCCCCTCACTGGAAAAATTGTTTTCCTTCTCTATGCCTGTTTCTTCATCTATTAAAAAGGGCTAATAGTGATTCAACTTCATAAGATTATTGTGAAGAACACATAAGAAATTCCACAAAGAGCTTCCTGACATTAATAAGTTCTCAATAAATATTAATGAACATAAAATTGGTCCACTATATACATGACTCACATAGCATAGGAGTTTTTGTGTTTGCCTTGTCTAAATATTCTCATGGCTTTTTATGCCTGTTTTCTTTTTCCTGGTCTCCCTGGGATGTGCTGAACTCACTTCGTGCTGCCTTGTGAAGGCAATTGTTTTACTTTTTTTTTTTAATTGAGATCTGGTTGTTAAATACTGCCAATATTAAAAAAGATAAAAGAAACATACAATTAAATAAGTTATATTTGAAACAAAGTTGATAATTGAACCTCTGGCCAATCACCAAATAAAAATAACCTAAGGTTCCAAATGTGTCATAAAAGTGCATGAAGCAAGATATGTTTCCTACCAGAGAGTAAAAGATTCTTTTTGCTTATATAAAGATTCATAAAGAACAAATCTGAGACCAAGATTGATAAGCTAGTTTGCAATTTTATATATATTCAATAGGCTTTCTTTATAAACAACTGAATATATCTAATTTACTCAGAAACTTCTGAAGTTGAGGCTTGTCTGAATTTTAGTTTGAATGAGTAAGAGAATGTATCTCTAGTAAACAGGGGAAAAATGGAAATGTCAGGTTTTTTTCTACTCAGTGCTTTGTAATAAATTAGAGTACTGGGTTATAAGTAAGAGAGCTAATTAACATTCATCAAGTTATATTTGATTACATCTATTCTCTTCCTTTCTAGCTGACTTACCTTTCCGGTTCCACAGGTTCTTTTCAGTTTAGGCTCCTTGATATCCTTTATCTTTACAACCCACCCCTCCCCACCAATCCAGAGAGTACCACAAAGATGAGTTAGAAGTAAGTAAGGAAAACAAAGGAATGCTTTGCAACTTTCTTTCTAACTAATCACTTATTTCTTATTTCTTTCTCTTTGAGTCATTAATTTTTACAGAACTGCTATGAGTACTCTTTTAATAAAAGTATGGCTGCGTTTTCTAAATGCATGTAAAGAATAAATGCAGTAGAATTAAAAGTAAACACAGTCATGTAGATCCAAGGTGGTTTAAAAGAAAATAAACTGGTAAAGAGACATGCAACGGTAACATGTCATACAACTTTAGCGTCATAACAGAAGATGTATATAGCCTTACCATATCCCTTTTTATTCATGTCCTATGATTTGTTCATAACTTCAAGAATCAAGATGCAAATCATGTTCATAAAAATTTATCCAAGCATGAAAAGCAGGTTGTGAAAGAAAATGTAAAAAACTGTAAATTTGGTATAAATCAAAATTCAACCAGCTTCCAACATGTAAATTTTTTTCATAGCAGATTGAGAGGAACATCTTTAATTGATAATACCTGGTGCTTATGGAATTAGAGCAGGGATAACCACTTGTGCTTTGCAGACATTGATTATTCTATTCTGATCTGACTAGAAAATCATAAGCATATCCTTTTACAAACATGAGGATTACACAGCAGCCAGTAAGTAACCTCAATGGGGATGTTCAGTGAAAAGCAGAAAGAATGAAGGATTTTGCTATCATTTCTGCTTGTTAAGCTGCCATTTCGAAGTCCCCATATTTGTATTTTTTTGCTTTGCACTAAAATAGATAAACTCAAATTGCTTCAAATAAGTCAGTTGTTCGAAGCATAAAAGTGAAATATTGTAATAAAAGCATCCCATTGTTACAAATTCTCACTCTGTCTAATTCCCTTTAATTTTGTCTTTCTACCTTCACCTTAAAACACACATACACACACACATACACACACACACACGTCAGATGCTTCTCTCCTTTATGATTTCTCTGACTTCATTCCTATCTCCTGACAATTCTCTTCTATTTTAAAATGAAGTTTTCTGGCCCATAGAAAATGTAAATTTGGCTTCCTGTCTATTTTTATGCCTTCCACGTAAATTTAGTGCAGCAACTCAGATGGAGGCACTCAAAGTTTTAGAAGAAAATCAGAGCATGAAAAGCCCTTAAAGTTGTGTAGAGTTTTTTCATTTTAATGTAAATATAAAAATGGACTGGGAGCCGTGGCTCATGCCTATAATCCCAGCACTTGGGAGGTTGAGATGGGCAGATCACGTGAGGTCAGGAATTCGAGACCAGCCTGACCAACAGGCTGTATTTTTAGTCTCTACTAAAAATACAAAATTATCCAGGTGTGGTGGCACATGCCTGTAATCCCAGCTACTCGGGAGGCTGAGGCAGGAAAATTGCTTGAACACGGGAAGCGGAGGTTGCAGTGAGCTGAGATCGCGCCATTGCACTCCAGCCTGGGTAACAAGAGTGAAACTCTGTCTCAAAAAAAAAAAAAAAAAAAATGCCATTTCTTTCCTTCTTGCCTCAAAAAAGTCTGGTAAAGAGACAGACCTTTGACTATAAATTTAATCTGATTTTTGCAATTAAGTATTTCAAAACTTGGGCTGCTATGGGCAGCCATAAGAAATTTGTGCTTCAAACTCAGGTCTCCAGGTCCAGTATCCAGTCTCCTGCTTCTGGTTGGCTCTCTCTAATCCTCATGTACAATTTCAGTCTGTTTCATGTTGTTTTAAAAATGATTGCTCAACAGCATCATACTTAAATATGAAGGATTGGAGTACAGTGGTATGATCTTGGCTCACTGCAACCTCTACTGCCCAGGCTCAGGTGATCCTCCCACCTCAGCCTTCCGAGTAGCTGGACAACAAGCCTGTGCCACCACTCCTGACTAATTTTTTGTTGTATTTTTAGTAGAGACGGGGTTTCACCATGTTGCCCAGACTGGTCTCGAACTCCTGAGCTCAGGCGATCCACCCACCTTGGCCTCCCAAAGTGCTGAGATTACAGGTATGAACCACCATGCCCAGCCAAAAATTACTTCTTTTTAATGTCATCTTTTTTTTAAATGACTCAATAAATGCTTCCAGTAAAAAGTTTAATACATACAACATTTAGGGAATAAAACTAGGGGTCCAGTTGACCTCTGGTATCTAGTTTAATTCCAGATAAGTTTCTAATATGTGGAAGCTGGGAATATCTTTAGAAAGGCATATTCCAAAGGAATCCTGAAAACATTGAAAATCATGAGCATGTCCCATATATGGTACCTTGGATCTGTGTATAAGAATGAAGTTTCAATTGCACTTTTTCTTGCTGTCTCCTCTAGTAGCAAGATTATGAATTCTGTTAAGATTTGCTCTAATAAGCTATCTTATATTTTTTCTTAAGAAAACATTTTTTTCCTTCCATTATTAAGCTATGCTAATCAGATCTGTTTTACTCCACCTGAGTATATAACGGGCAATGTTGCCTTTATTCAGTAAGCTCTGAGCTGCAGAGTCTACTGTGAATCCCCCTCAAATCAGTCATCAGTTTCCTCTCTTAACATATGTCGTAGATTTACTAAATGTTTTGTCATCTTGTGTGTCATTCGTTTAAGCAACTTCAGTTCATTTCATTGACTCCTTGTCTGACTTTTCTGTTTTTCATGAACTAGAACACAATGTCTTTCTAGACAAACATTGAGAACTTAGTAAACAACAAACCAAATGAACAAACAAAAGCTGTGATTAGGCCCTGACTGAGTGGTGTTTTGCATTCAAGAACAAGATTGCTAGTATCTTGAGGAACATGCTCTCTTAAAAATTCTGCATCAGTCATCCTTGTATACACTCTTACCTCCTCCCAATTCCCTTTCCTGTTATGTTTTTTTCCCTAGTTTTGCTTAATGTGGTCTAAAATGTTCTTAGACATTTATATGACTAGACTAAGAAATTCATAGACTTGTTTGAGCCTTATGGAAGATGGACATGCTTTAGAGGTCAAAGGAATTTTTTACTCATTTAGAGAAACAGAAAAGTTCTTTAGACAATGATCCATCAAGTCACGGTGTGATTCTCTTAAAAATCACTCATATTAAAGATTTCTTAAGCAGTGACTACATATCAAATGGGTGCTAATAAAATGTCCCCTGTCTAGTGAACAGCTGTTATTATTGGTTAAGCTGATTGAAACAAGAGAGAATTATAGCCAGCTGCAAAACACATTCATGAGTGGTGAGAGAAACTGGCAGCTGTTATTCCACTTGCTATAAATATTTTTAATTAAAATTTGTCCCCTGGTTTTTAATTTGCTTAATAGCATAGATTTTTAGTCAGTTACTTTGGCATAAAGGGATGTCTCTCTCTTCAAAAAGAGCTTTTTAGTTCTTCCATTAACAATGACTATTAACAACAGTGGCAGCACCCTGCTGGCCGATAGAAAAATGAGCTGTGAAACTCTCATTCTTGTCTAGAATTATATTTACTCAGTGGTGTTTTGCATTCATGGACAAGGTTGCTAGTATCTTGAAGAATATGCTCTCTTAAGAAACACCAGAAATATTGCATCAAAGTCATCCTTGATGCACTCTTTAGCTCCCCACCTACTCCCTTAACTGGTATGTTTTGGAATTTCAGTTTTGTTTACTTTTAATACTTGCATTTTCATATAAAAGTTTCTGCTAAGGATGGTGAATTCTTATAAAGAGTGAAGACAAGACCAGGTGCGGTGGCTCACGCCTGTAATCCCAGCACTTTGGGAGGCTGAGGCGGGCGGATCACGAGGTCAGGAGTTTGAGACCAGCCTGACCAACATGTGAAACCCCATCTCTACTAAAAATACAAAAATTAGCCGGGCGTTGTGGCACATGCCTGTAATCCCAGCTACTCAGGAGGTTGAGGCAGGAGAATCACTTGAACCCAGGAGGCGGAGGTTGCAGTGAGCCAAGATCGTGCCATTGCACTCCAGCCTGGGTAACAGAGCGAGACTCCGTCTCAAAAAAAAAAAAAAAAAAAAAAAAAAAAGAGTGAAGACAGTGAATAGAATTACCTTAGAAGTATCTAAATGGGACCACCATTAGCAATAAAACACACACACACACACAACTTCATATATTTTCATACTGAAAATCTGCCCTTTTGGCTTATAGGACTCTCCTCCCACTCTTGACAGTCCACTTTAATCTCATCACCCATTTGCTTCTCAAACATGGATGCTATCTAGAGTTTAGTTAACCGTGATCTATATGTTAATGATGCAAAAAAATCTCATTCTGTAGCCCTGCCTGCTCACCTAAGCACTGTGCTTGTATATCTTGTTCCCGAAGGCACTTAAAAACTTATAAATTTCCTCATGTCTGCTTCTTTTTCTGTCTTCCTCATCTCAGTTAATGGCACCACTATCCACTACATCACTGAAGCCAGAAGTCTTGGAGTCACCTGTAACTTCTTTTTTTCCCTTCATATTCTTTGCTAAATCTCTTGAGTCTCTAAGCCCTAATGATTTACTTCCTAAATATTTCTCAGTTCTGTTTCCTATACCTCCATTTCTATTGTGACAACCCATTATCTGTACTGATTCTTCCTTAGAATATTAAAACAGCTTCCTAACTGGTATCCCTATCCCTAGATTCAGCCCTTCAAATTTATCATCTACCTAAAAGGAAATATGACTGTATAGTCACTTCCTTGCTTAAAACTGTTCAATGGCTTTCAATCATCTTCCAAATAAAGTTTGAAATTGTTAGCACGGAATATAAGGCCCTGGCCTCACACTATTTCTTCTTCCACTCCCTACTTCGTAGCTAAGGCTGAATCGTACTGAATTGTGGTAGTTTGTCACACATCATCCTTTGGAAACGTAGCTCAAACATATATCAAGATATAATACTCTATTTACATGTTTATATCTTTTATGATTGTGCGATTCTTTGATCAAGGACTATTCTTGTTTCCTGTGGTAACTGGCATGTGGACAATGAAATGATTCATAATATAAAAAGAAAGAATTTTGAATAACAAAATTAGATCAGTATTCTTGGGGGTCTTAACTGTATTAATTGTGGAAATGAGAATTTTTAAAAGCACTCATTAGTTTTATTTTAACGAGATGGACACTTTGTTAATGAAAGTGAGAGAAGATTTTATATTTTATTTAAAAATGATATTCAGCCAAAATCATTTATTCTCCTGTAAAATAATGACATGTTGGAATTACTCCTTATTGATTTAATTAATTTCCCTCCAGTGACCTAAGACTTATGCTTTGGATATCTTCATAAGATGAATAGCTATTATGATGTGTCATCAATATATTTATTGTTACAATTTAAATAATCTTTAAAACACATTTCTTTATGAATAAGCTTTATTTCAGCTTTTCCTAGTTGAGAAACCAGAAACTAGAGATGAATCCAAGAATCTGGATACAGCCAGTAATAAGCACATGGCTGAAAATCTGTTTGATTATATAAGTTGACTGGGCACTATAGGAGAAATACAAAAAGCTTCATAGAAAGGAATGTCCCATGTAATCTAAGTTTTTCTGTATTCATGAATTAATCAAACCTCTTAGTTCTGTCAATCATGTGGACCAACCTAGTATGGAACCCCTCTTATCACAAATAGATGGAAATGCTATATACAATATAACCTAATAAATAGACAAGCCTGTGTGTGTGTACACCCCTCCCCACACCTACCCCTCACATATAAATAGCTGATTAAATAAAAAATTAAAAGGGAAATCTTAAATCATCATCAGAAAAAAAAAACTTTACAGCCAGTGTAACAGCCTTGTAAGCTGATATCTCGTTGGATCCTTCATTGGCAGTTAGGATTGGGTAATACCCATGTTAGGACAGCAAATTTGGTTTTTGGTTGTGAACTAAAATACTGTAACTGAGATGCCCATACAGACATATGGAACATTGTTAAGGCTACAAGATGAGTCACTAGAAAGCTTATCTTGGTCTAAAGCTGAGTGAAAAAAAATCCCACTGGCAAATCTATATACAGATATGGAAGTTATATTACTAGTTTTGTGTAGAATTCCTTAATTGAGAAATAACCAACAGTGTGATTCTAGACATTGTTAAACAATAAGTACCTTGAGGTAACCAGCAGAAGCAAATATAAAAATGCTTTGTACCAATAGTTCAAAAAATAGGATGCTTGGGAATCCCACACTAGAAAAATAATCTTCAACTAAAAATTAGCTCACAATTTTAAAAACGTTACTGACTACACAAAGAACATTTATTAGGTAAAGTTAGTGGAGATAACCATTTGGAGGATTAATATTGTATAAGAGCTTGGCTAATAGAACAATCTGAAAAAGACTATAAAATAAATACGTTTAATGTATTTAAGAGATAAAAGAACTAGAAACCAAGAAGAATAGGATACTGAAAATAGAACAGATAAATACGAAAAAGAATCAAATAAAATGTATAGAAATGAAACAGCTAAAAAGGGAAATAGTGAATTAAAAGAAACCTCTAAGGAAATGGCTTCGAATGAAGCATAAACACAATATCAAAAAGTGGTTAAGAGAATTGGGGTACAGAATAAGATAAAACTCTAATGAGAATTTCAAAGAGAGAAAAGAAAGAGTGGGGAAGAGATAATATATAAGGAGACAACAGGTGAAGATTTTTAGTACTAATGAAAATACATGAGGTTACAGACTGAAAACACACAGGTGCTAAGTAGAATAAGGAAAACAGAATACACATATAGACACATTGTGGTAAAACTACGAAATGTTAAAGACAAAGAGAACATTTTAAAAGCAGCAAGATGAAAAATCAAAGATTACCTACAGAGAAAGAATTATTAGATCAATAGCCATGTTGTAATCAGCAACAATAAAGGCAGGAAGACAAGTGAATAGTATCCATAACATGCTGAAAAAGATGTGAACCTAGAATTCTATACACAAAGAAATTTCTTTAGGTAAGAATTAAAAAAAACAGATATATTTCAGGAGGAAAGGAACTGGATCCATAGAGAGAGTGGCAGTAGTGAGCAAAGAAATGTATAACATGTAATTAGGACTAAATAGGCTCTGACATAAAAATAAACAAATATGTATGTATGTATGTGTTTTATTTTATTAATTTGTGGATATTTAAAAACAATGTTTGATATTTCTAGTCAACATTATATTGAGTGTTTGGGGCAGTATGACAAGAAAAAGTAATAAAAGCTTAAGGACTTGAAAGAAAGAAAAAACTATCATGATACAGAGACTCTGTAATTACGTAAAAATCTCATGAAAATCTGTAGACAAATTAATAGAATTAATGAATGTCCTGAATGCTTGCTACATATAATATTGATATATAAAAGTCAAACAATTACATTCCTAATTGTCTACCATAGCAGAAAATGTAATTGTACAAGACATCATTTAATATAAGAACAAAGTTGTTAGGGGCCTAGGAATACATCTATTAATAAAAATGGGCAGAAGTATATGAAACATAATGGAAAGACATTTAAGAAGGCTTAAATAAGCAGAAAGACGACATCATGTTTATGGATAGAAAAACTCGGTATCATGTCAATTCTTGCCAAATTAATGTTAAATTCACTGTGATCACACAGTCAAATCCCAACACCAAATCTCAATCCCAACATCCCAAAGACATGTATGTATGTGTGTAACTTCAGAACTGATTTTAAACATTTAATTAAAAAGCAAAGGAGCAAGAATTTCTTATGCAATTTTTAAAAAAGACAAGATGTAGAAAATCTCAGTACTAGATTTCAGTATGTATTATTTTTAAAAAGCATAGTGTTAGTATGGGAATAAGTAAGTAAACCAGTGAAACAGACTAGAAAGCCCATATATGGAAGCTTAATCTATGACTGAGGAAGCATTGCAAGACCATAGGGAAGGACAATTTAATCAATAGTCCTGAGACAATTGGTTTTTTTATTTGGAAATAATACAGTTTGATTCCCACTTTACACTATGCACAAAAATCGATTTGAAGGGACAAAATGTAAAAATATGTAAAAATAAATTCTTGATAGCCTTAGGAAAAATGAGAATATTTTATGATCATAGTTTGTGAAGAGGAAAAAATTTGAACAAGATACATAAACATCAAATCATAAAAAAGATATTTACAAATTGGAGTTATGAAAATTTTTAATGTCTATTCATCAAAGAAAACCATACAAAATAAAAAGAAAAACTACATACTAGATGGAGTTGTTTGCAATACAATATGATACCATTCTGTGATTATCAGACTGATACAATTTGAAGGCTAAAAACTGAATGTTGGTGAGGACGTGGAGAAAAGAGAATATTTATTTACAGCAAAAATTGGCAATATTTATGAAAGATGAATATTCAACTAAGATCCAGTTGCTTAATTTCTAAGTGTATTTTCCAGATAAATTATTACACATTGCAGAATACATGTACAGAAAAGTTCATTGGTTTCATTACAGTAGCAAAAACAATAATTAAAAGTATCTGTAAACAATACAAAATAAAAGTATATTTATATCATGTTAGAAGTTAAAATGAATGAGAGCTGTGTGTACTATGATGTACAAATCTCAATAATAGAGTAGAAAGCATGTGGCAAAATATGTTCAGTATACCATGTTTATCAATTAAAATCAACATAAAACAATACTGTATGATATTGTGAGGCATGCATATGTAATAAAAGTATAAAAGTATGCATGGGAGAGACACTCTCCACCCTCAAGATAGTGATAGTAATTGGGCCTGAAAGGTTAGGAACTCTGAAAAAAAAATGACAAAACGTTATTGTAGATACTGGGTACTAAATGACTTTTGTTTCTGTAGCTTTCCATATGCTTAAAATATTTCATAACTAAACAAAATCTAAATAGGCATTCAATTTAAAATAAATATACACATGTGTATATATTTGATTAATTGGAGGATATGTAAAAACATTGCACAATATCTTCTAGTCAACATTATATTGGATTTTTTTTTTTAGAGAAGCAATGAAAAAATTATTCTTAAGAAAAGTCTTATGCCTTAAGCTGGACACCCAAATGTTAACGCTATACTTGGCAAATAACTTTGATCCCTAGAAGGATGAAACAAATTGTGTTTTCAGCCCTTGCATACACCTGCATCTTCACGTAGTGCTCTCTCTGAAATGATTTGGGTACCAAACATGAACTGGATAGAACTGAAAACTGGAGGTGGATAAATCTGGTCTCCTAATAAATTGAATTACTGAAAATGTTGAAGGATACAGATATAATTTATTGATATCAGCAAATTCGGCATAAAGCCCAGGGCTGTGGATGACTGAGTGAAATTTATGCTTGGATAGATTTCAGTTTACATTTTTCGTTTTAATGAGAATGCAGAAGAGGACCTAAACAGGGGCAGTGCAGTGATTTTTGTCTCTCTGGGTCACACCTTGCTGTCCCTTGTTTGACATTCAGACCAGCAACATGAATGCATGTTAAAGAGCCTGCCTGCTAAGCACTGATGGCTTTTCCTATTCACTCGCCTAAGCCAGGTTTAGGAGCTTCTGTTTATGGGGGTGGCAGAACTGCCTCAAGGGTGCTGATGGGGCTGAAATGGTTCTCTGCCATGTAGTACAAGACTCTCAGGCCCTGCAGATCCCCTTCTGTGCAGCCCTTGTCTCTCTCACACCACCTGGCAAAGAAAGTTCCAAGCCACCCTGGTTTTCCTCACTCCCTCCTCTCTTCTCAGGTTTACTTTTGTAATAGTACCTACCACCCGTAATATAGCATGTGTCTTTGGAGTTCTATATTTATGGATTTGGGGCTCCTTTTGGGCAAGAACTATGTCTCAGACAATATGCAGGTAATTTGCACATTGTAGACCTACAATATGTAAACCAAAAAGCATCTGAGACAGGTCTCAATCAATTTAGAAGTTTACTTTGCCAAGGTTAAGGACATACCTGGAAGAAGAAAACATGGAATCACAGAAATAATGTGTGGTCTGTGCCTTTCTCCAAAGATGAATTTGAAGGCTTCAGTATTTAAAGGGGAAAAAGTGGGCTGGAGGGAAAGAAGGGTGGGTACGGTAACCCATGTGTTGCAAGAAAATAGGAGCAGGTAGGGGAATAGTCAATTATGTATTCATCTGGCAGCACATTACATAAGATAAGGTGAACATAACGGTTTATCTGTAGCTATTTGCTTAGGAACAAAAGGAAAGGCAGCTTCTTGTATGACTCTACTTTCAGTTTAATTTTTTCCTTTTGGCATAGTGAATTGGGGTCCTGAGTTTTTATTTCCCTTTCACAAATGTTTGTGGGAAAATATATCTCCTGCATGGATACTATTTGGATACTCTAACAAAGAAATTATGGGATTGTTGGCAGCAGTGAATCCATACAGGTCTGCAACAACCTCACTTCTTGCCCTCTCAGAAGAAATAATTCAACCAAGGGGCATAAGGCAGAGGGAGAGACTGAGGCAAGTTTTAAAGCAGGAGTGAAAGTTTATTAAAAAGTTTTAGGGCAGGAACGAAAGGAAGTAAAGTACACTTGGAGGGGGGTCAAGCGGGCAACGTGAGAGATTCAACTGCCCAGTTTTACCTTTGACTTGGGGTTTTATATGTTGGCATTCCACATGTGCCAGCCAGCATTTTGGAGGGGCTGCATGCACAGTGTGTTTACTGAAGTTGTACGCATGCTCTCTTGAGGCATTTTTTTCCTTATCAGTCGCGTGTTCCTAGAGAAAGTTTATACATGAGTTAAACTCTGCCATTTTGCCTCTTAGTGTGCATGCTTGAACCCACTTGCCCAACTCCTCAGATCTTATTAGGAAGCTGCTCACCACCAACTTCGGGTGTTTTTTATCTTTGGGAGACTGCCTTTCCCTGGCACCAGGTGTGACCAATTATTACTTTAGAGAGACAGTTTAACAACTACCTGACCATCACCTGATGGTCACCTGGCATTCCTGGGTGGTGGGGGGACCCTCTTCTGCCCTGCTCATGTCTGTCTAACTACTTACTCTAACAGGCTTACATATTTAAAAGTCTTTGTCAATTCCAATTTAGTGAGCCTGGGATGCGCGCGTGTCATGCACACACACACATGCATGTATGAACACATTTTTAAACTGTTTTTTAAATATATTTATGTTTCTGTTATGTTTGTCCCTAAATCAATGTAGCATTCTATATTGCTTTTTAAAAATATTCTAGGCCAGGCACGGTGGCTCAGGCCCGTAAGCCCAGCACTTGGGGAGGCCGAGGTGGGCGGATCACCTGAGGTTGGGAGTTTGAGACCAGCCTGACCAACATGGGGAAACCTCGTCTTTACTAAAAATACAGAATTAGCCAGGCATGGTGGCACATGCCTGTAATCCCAGCTACTCAGGATGCTGAGACAGGAGAATCACTTGAACCTGGGAAGCGGAGGTTGTGGTGAGCTGAGATTGTGCCATTGCACTCTAGCCTGGGGAACAAGAGCAAAACTCCATCTCAAAAAAAAAAAATAATAAATTGTGACAATGCTTTGTTATTTAAGGGGAAATATACATTTTGGAATTAGGTAAGAGTTCATTTTAATCAAAACATAGCAACACCATCACATGGAATCGCTCAAGTCTGCCAAATTTCTAGTTAAAATGCATGAGTTGGAGAAAACATTTAAGAATATTTGATATGTTTATACCAATCTAGGACTGTTTATCTCTGGACTACTTTACATGAAAGAAAATAATCTTCTAGGTATTTTAAGCTGCAGCTTTTTTAGCTTGTTTTGTTATTTGTAACCAAACAAAACTAATGGAATTCATAACAGATATAGTACCCAAGAATGTGTCAAATATCAACAAGGTAGCAGACATCAACTTTTCATCTAACCTGAAGTTTAGAAAATTGCAGTTCAGTGTCTTCAGGAATTTCTTGATTCTACCTGTTCTGTAGTGACAGCACCTGAAATCATTGTTTTATTGTCTCTCTTTGCAAGAGTGTGGGTATCCCCAAGCATGCCTAAGGGAAATCAGGGGCATATGTTGAGTTCCCTTCTCTGATCAGTTTACATTTTTATTTATAGTTATATTTTTGTGTTTAAGGACAATACATGCCAGTCAACTACAGCATAAAACTGCCGAGGAAGGCCTATTGTTGAGCAAATCACTCTTTAGAAGACAAAAGCATTAATGTATTATTAATACAGTGCCTATATTCTATATGTGGGGTCTGCAGAAATACAAAATTGGCTTCTTGAGACTTGAAATTTGTTTCTTGTCTGGTTCTGCTTTCCCCTGTTTGAACATGTTAGATTTTAACACATCGTTCATACGGTTTCAATTTAATTCCCACACAATTGCTATACTACTTGAACAGAACAAACAAAACTAATAAATAACAAAGAAAGCCCAGGCATTTGAGATCTTTTCAAAATGCTAGTAACACTGTAGATAAAAACAAGTTCTAGGAGTTCAGAAGTTAGTATACAGAGACATTGGGTACTTTATGCTCTAAATATAGCTTTTATTTATTTTATTATTTATATTGGCCCCTTATAAATGTAAAGTAATGAGTTGCCCAAGGGATTTTCTTTATCTCCTTTCATAGCAGTCACTTACTTGTTTATTTAACAAATGTTTGTTAAGCACCTACTATGTGCCAAACACTGTGCTGGACACTGGGCAAAAATGTTTCTTGCCTTCAAGGTGCTTCGAGGACTCCAAGGACTCTAGTGGGCTTACATATCATCTATTAAAAAACACTGCTGATGACTTTTTATCCATAAGACCCACATAACCTAAACACAGGTAAAGAAAGGTAATAGCAACCAAAAATGAAACATAAACAAACTTTAAGGTAAAGCTTCTGCCACAATAATTGTAATTGATAGCATTTACTGGAAATGTAACTATTATCCAGTAGATGCAGTTTTAGGAGGTAATTGTTGTTATAACTCCTTTTTACAAATGAGGAAACTGAACATTACTGAAGTTCCATAACTTGTTAAAATTGTACTGCCAGTAAGGGTTTACAAAGGTTTTTAGCCAGGTAGGCTGACTCTAGAGCCTAGAGTGGTGATATTTTCAAAACTTTTTGTGTAATAAGTCACAACCCCTCACATTCCCAAAACGTTTAAATATCTGAGGGATGTTTTCTGCAGAGTGGGAACTTTTGTTTAATATGCCCCATGATATGTAGCTTGAGACAACCTTGCATTTTTAAAAACAAATATTTTAGCCTTAGACTCTATCCCTCTGAATGGGGAACATCACCTCACCATTGAATTCAGAGTGGTCACAACACTGAGCTTCTCAAAATTAAAAGTATTTTAGTCTTCTTGTCAGTAAATGTAGGGACTGGCAGCTTTTCCATTTAGTTTGAATATTCTAATAGTTATTGATCAAAATCTTATACCTAGAAGATAAAATACTGTGAAATAACAAGGATGATTTTATACAACCTAAACCAGTATGAAGATATTCTGATTAATTTTAGGCTACTTCCAACTGCACCAAGGCCACCCTGAAGTTTCTATATATGAGCTTTCTGTATACAATCAGTATTATTATTATTAGAAGTTGATCAGTTAGAATTACATTCATTGTGACAAACAAAAACCCAGTAAACATTTAAATATCAGGTTTAATGAAGATTGTTCAAGGCTGAGGCGGCTTTTCTAATATGTCATGAAAGAACCAAGTTCATTTTATTTCTGTTCCATCAACTTCACCATGACTTTCATCCTCACAGTTTCATTATTGTTGCTGTATTTCCAGCCATCACATGCCTGTTCCAAACAGGAAGAATGAGAAAAGCGAAGCAATAGGAAGCCTTTTTGGTTTCTAGGGACTTCCTCTACATCTTATAGGCCAGAATTGAGCTACCACGACCTGAAAGAGACTGAGAGTTAAGCATTTCCATTTTCTGGCATCAATAATAGAGGAAAACAAGAGAAGGGTTGGAAAAGGTATTGAAAGAGCCATACTACAGCATCTACTACAGAAGTCATTTGCATCTTTACTTCAGAAACCATGGAAAACATAAGCAGGTTTCTATTTCTCTGTTTATGTGACTCTTCCCCTTATTTTGGTGATGAAAGGCTAACAAGAATAATTTGGGGGTTTTGTTTATCTACTTGATTACTTAAGGGAGAAAAATGAGAGGATACAACCTTCTGAGACAGCACTTTTAGGGCACGTGACAGCTCACTATGAATCAGAAGTGAATAGTACCCCTACCCAGCTTGGTACGCACACAGAAAAGGGGCATTTGTGAAACAGATGGTAAGACCCTACAGGATTCCACAAGGACTTTCTTCGTAGTGTATTTCCAGTAGAGGTCAGTGAGCATCCCAGGTTTCTAAAATTAAGCTTCACTGCTGGCACTCTAGGGATGGTCAAAGACATAACCATTGTCTGCACTTAGTCATTAACAAGTCCTCAAATTATTCTTGCAGAGAATATGCCATTGGAATATGCTTTTGGGATTGGGAAGATTTGAAAAGGATTCCAGCACCTTATCACTGAAAGGGACTTTAGAAATCATTTATTCCAATTCCTCTTACTTTTATCCAAGGAAACCAAAGCCCAGGAAATTAAGTCATTTGCACTGGGATACCCAGATGAGGATCACTTTGGTGTCCTTTTCTACCAGTTGGAAGAAGTAAGGACATTCCTATAACAGGTTTCCATAGCACTATGTGCGTCCCATATGTAATACTTGACCGCAAACATGTGTTTAGCGCTGCTTTTTAGTTTACTGTAGTTTAGTGTCTCCCTTCACGTCTACACTGCAAGTTCATATGCAGGTTAGGAACAACATCTGTCTCATTAAATGCAGTATTTGTAGGGCCCAGTACACTTTGGGGAACAGAGAAGGCACTTGATATATTTTTATGGAATAAATAAAAGACTAGATGGTTCAAGAGATGCTAGCCAACATCGGATAGAGGTTGTAATTTTTATTTCAAATTACCAGCATCTCTAAGGCAATTGTTATTTAGGTCATCTGCAGAAATTGGGTGAACAGCCAATACTACATTCCACTAAGAGAACATTTTTCTACCTGCGCCGTTCCTGACCCCCTCATCACCCACTTTCCCAGGACTAAGGATCATTTAAGCCCCCGCTGTGTGTGAATCTGTGAGTGAAGGCAAATAAAGATATTTTCAGTAACATATTCCACTATCTGGGAAGACATTGGTTACCTGACAGTGATATAAACCCAGTAATTCTGGGTGGGGATTGAACCAAACATATGCTTTTAAGTTGAGAGCTAAAGAAAGTGTAACAGTATCTGTCATAATAAATCCCAAGGAATCTTCATTGAGCTGTTTAGAGTGGTATGGAATGTGTAACCAGTTTTCATATTCTCCACCTTGTACCCTATATCCAGCTGGAGTTCAACGATAAAAACACTTTTTTAAATTTTTGGCATATCTTTAGGATCTGCTGTTTATCTTATGTTTTTATCAGCTTACTTCTGTGGGGTAGTCTCAGTGTTTGCAAGGTTACAGTGATAATTTTCTATCTAATTTTATTCCAAATAGAGTTGCTATTTGGATGGCTGGGGGCTAGAGCATGCCCTCAGATTGCCTGGTCAGAAAGGAATGCAAGTAGTTGGAAATCTTTCAGTTATTTGTTATCCAAGGTAACAATGCATTTTAGAAGGAGGAATCACTTGTTGTTGCTATTTCTAAATCTATTTATAAACTTTTATGTTCGCTGAAGGACGAGACACCCTAGAATTAGGACTGATATAGATTTAGAAAGATCAGATGGTTATTTAAGACCTTTTGAGAGCAGATAAGGCTCTCCCTAGAAGTTAAAAAAGAAGAGGTTTGACTCTTAAAGGCTATAATTTCTACCACTTAAAGGGATTATTATATAAACTGAATATTAGCATTATATTTTCTGTTAAATTACAGTCTAAACAAATGGCTTTTGATGTTAAGCTGATTGTCCTAACCAAAATATTATCTTATTATTATTCATTTTTAAACACTGGTGCATCCCAACCACTATATGTTCCCATTTTGCCAAATAAATCTTATGCTCTAAAATTATAATTATAATTAAAATTATATCTCATTGAATTTTGTTGAATTCTATATCAATAATTCCTCATCTACTTAGTCCACAAATATGTGACAAACATAAAAAATGGCAAAAACTCTTAATTTATGTGATTTTTTTCCTTTCTCTACCCTAGTACCTTTCACTGAAGACAAATTTATTGTAAAATTTCTACTGGGATTCATTGTAGGTAAGGACATTTAACTTATTAATATCATGGGACTTTTCAATGAGTTTTTCATGAACAGGCATTGTAAGATTAGCTCTTCTGGCATTAGACCTTTAGGTCATAAAATACATCAAGTTTGCTGTTTCTTTCCTCTGTCCTCCTGCCTCATTTCCACTAATAAACTTCAACCACCACATAATTATTTTAAAACTAATATTATTAAGTTTTCAAAGTGGTGACTCTTGATAAGTTATCATAGATGCTTAGACATTGCCAGTTATTGTTGGCCAACTAAGAAATTTGTCTTAGAAGAAAGCAAAGTTTAAAAAGTCAGTATTTAAGTAAAAATATATTCAAATTGAATTCTAGCAGTAATGATCTTCACTTTTCCCAGATTTTATCTAAAGGCAAATAACCTCTATGAGGGAAGGATTGCATTTGCAGGCACATATATATATGTGTGTGTGTGTACATATATATGTGTGTATATATATATATATATATATACACACATATATATACACGTGTGTGTATATACATGTATATATATGTAGGCGTATATATACACATCTGTAGGCATATATACACATGTGCATATATATACATACATATGTACATACACATATATGTATGCCTACAAATGATTGAAATTAATTAAAATACATAATACAAATATAACTAATATATATACATATACATGTATATATGTATACATTATACACACACACACACACACACACACACACACACACACAGTGTTGCCAGCATTAGCTGTCAATGGCTATGTGTCTATTCTAATTTATCAAGAGTCACCATTTCGGAAACTTAATATTAATTTTAAAGTAACAATGTAGTGGTTGAGAGTAATTAAGTAACTTGACCAAGATCACACTGCTAGTAGGTTGCAGAGCTGGGTTTCAAATGTAGACACTGGTCTCTTAATCTGACATTCACTTATTTAACAAATATTTATTAAGCATGTACTATGGGCAGGATATTGTGTGAGAGGATAAATAAACGAAGAAATTAAGACAGAATTTCCTCTTTCAAGGAAATCATTGCTAATTTCAAAAGAATGTGGAAGGGTCTCAACAGAACATTCATGGGATATCACAGAGAACCATGCTATGTATGCAAAAGAAGAGTGGTCTTTCTAATTCTCTTATGAAAAATGCCCTTTCTTCAGAAGAAATTAAGTAAGTGAAGCCTTCCAGAAATGTAGGACTGTAAAATATCTAGTTCCTTGATTCTCTTAATTCAAACTTATTTTCATTTGAAGAAATAACTTCAACTTCTATTTTAGATTCAGGAGCTACATCTACAGGTTTGTTAGCTGGGTATATTTTGTGATGCAGAGATTTGGGATATTATTGATCCCATCACCTAGGTACTGAAAATAGTACCCAGTAGTTAAGTTTTTCAACCCTTTTGCCCTCCCCTTTCTAGTAGTCTCGAGTGTCCATTGTTGCCATCTTTATGTCCATTAGTACCCAATGTTTAGCTCCTACTGTAAGTGAGAACATGTGGTATTTGGTTTTCTTTTCCTTCATTAATATGCTTGGGGTAATGGCCCCCAGCTGCATCTGTGTTGCTGCCAAGGACAAAATTTTGTTCTGTTTTATGACTGCATAGTATTCCATGGCATGTATGTACCACATTTCATTAACCTATCTACCCTTGCAACTAAAACAAAAATTGACAAGTGAGACCTAATTAAACTAAAGAGCTTCTGTACAGCAAAAGAAACTATGAACGGAGTAAACACACAACCTACAGAATGGGATAAAATGTTCATAAAGGTCTAATATCCAGAATCTATGAGGAACTTAAACAATTTAACAAGCAAAAACAAATAACCCCATTCAAAAGTGGGCAAAAGGCATGAAGAGACACTTCTCAAAAGAAGATATACAAGTGGCCAACAAACATATGAAAAAATGCTCAACATCACTAATCATCAGAGAAATGCAAATCAAGGCCACAATGAGATACTATCTCATATCAGTCAGACTGGCTATTATCATTATTATTATTATTATTATTTTGAGATGGAGTTTCACTCTTGTCACCCAGGCTGGAGTGCAATGGTGCGATCTCCACTCACTGCAACCTCTCCCTCCCAGCTCCAAGCGACTCTCCTGCCTCAGCCTCCCGAGTAGCTGGGATTACAGGTGCCCACCACCAGGCCTGGCTAATTTTTTTTGTATTTTTTTCTGTAGAGACAGGGTTTCGCCATGTTTGCCAGGCTGGTCTTGAACTCCTGGCCTCAAGTGATCTGCCTGCCTTGGCCTCCCAAAGTCCTGGGATTACAAACGTGAACCATCGCACCTGGCCTCAGCTGGCTATTATTAAAAAGTCAAAAAACAAATGATGCTGGTGAGGCTATGGAGAAAAGGGGACACTTATACACTGCTGGTGGCAATGTGAATTAGTTCAGTCACTACGGAAAGCAGTTCAGAGATTTCTCAAAGAACTTAGAACTGCCATTTGAGCCAGCAATTCCATTAGTCAAAGGAAAATAAATTGTTCTACCAAAAAGACATATGCACTCATATGTTCATCAGAGTGCTATTCACAATAGTGAAGGCATTGAATCAACCAAGGTGCCCATCAAACTCATTTTCTTTGAGTACATCAATGGCTGTGTCTTAGGAATGGTGTTAATAGACTGCATGTGGACCAGCAAAGTACCTGTACCACCAATGCTAGCACATTCCATTTTTACTTCCCTAAAAAGCTAATAAGGTAGGGGAAAAAAATCTACCCCACCAGATCAGTTTCAGTGTTAACAAAGCTAAGACTCAAAGCACAAAATGGGAAAGCCCTGCCCACACCATGAATTGTGTTTACTCATACCCAGAAACTGCTAATTAGGTTACAGATAATTAAACTGTATTACAATCTCGGGATGAACATTTTCTTTATTTTTTTCTGTTTGTTAGTTTATTGCTAATGCATTGTGGGGAACCCTTAGAAAGACTCTGATAATGCTATCACATTACCCTTCCCCAGATTAATTGCATTATCACCAACTGAAATTATCTTTTTGCTTTGGTTGTTATTCGTCTTCCCCAATTAGGATATAAGCACTATGAGATCAGGGACATTATCCATCTCACTTAGCCCTACAGATGTTCCTTAACTTATGATGGGGTTGTGTCCTGATAAACCCATCATAAGTTAGAAAATATAATCTAAATTGAAAATGTACTTAATATACCTAACCTATAGAACATCAGAACTTAGCCTAGCCTATCTTAAATGTGCTCAGACACTGATATTAGCCTGCAGCTGGGAAAAATCATCTAACACAAAGCCTATGTTATAATAAAGTGTTTGATATCTCA
This sequence comes from Homo sapiens, assembly GCF_000001405.40. Classification (NCBI taxonomy): domain Eukaryota; kingdom Metazoa; phylum Chordata; class Mammalia; order Primates; family Hominidae; genus Homo; species Homo sapiens. The sequence continues at coordinate 75,529,467 of NC_000012.12, read as the reverse complement.
TGCAATTTATTGAATACTGTACTGAAAGTGAAAAACATGATGGCTCTCCAATTTATGAAGGTTATGATGTAAGTCCAACCATCGTAAGTTGGAGACTGTGTGTGTATAATCCATATGTCTGATGTATAGTAAGCAATATATTTATTCAACAAATATTTGAGCATGAATGCCTGAGTGAACAAAGAAAAGATAACTGCTCTATCTTAATCAGACTTTTATAAAACTAAAATTTGTATCCTCTAAAAGGCAACTATCCTCTCAATTGTATCAAACTCTTACTGTTTTTCCCTTATTTCATTTCTCTGAAGAAATCCTCTACTTCATTTAGCAAAGAGAGAATATCAAGAGATATATGACCCTATTTTAAATGTTGATAGGTGTCTCAAATATCTATTGCTATATAAGAAACATGCCAGCACACAATGGCTTAAAAACAATCTGGACTGAACAGTTCTTTTGCTCCACATGGTATCTACTGAAGCTGAAATGTCTAAGATTGCTTCTTCACTCACATTCAGAACCTCAGTTGGGATGACTGGAATATCCGAGAGCTGGTCAGGCCTGTTTCTGTCCCTCTTTCCACATGGCTAGCTTGGGCTTTCTCATAGTGAGATGGGCTCAGGGTATTTGAACTTCTTATCCTGCATCATTCTTCCAAGATAGAGGAAGCAGAAGCTGCCAGTCTTTCTAAAGGCTGGACCTAGAATTAGCAGAGTCATAGCCACAGTATTCTCTCGATCTAAACAAGTCACAGGGCCAGGCCAGATTCAAGGGGCTCCTCACTCTCTTAGTGTGAGGAGTAACATGCATATCAACAAGGAAGGAAGCTATCAGTGGTGGCTATCTTTGGAGATTATATGCCACAATAATGAGGTGGCTCTTCTCGAACTGCCTGCCTGTCTGTCTTAGAAATGCTGTAACTCTGTCCCAGTCTGTGCCAAGCAGAGATGATGAACAAAGCAGTGTGTGAAGTAGGCTGCTATTGCACCCTCTTTGCGTCTGACTTGATGTGGCTGACATATTGACATTATTTTATTGCTTTGGTGTGGCAACAGCTCCAGCTAAGCCACCACTGCCAGACACTTGCCCATCTGTCCTAAAATATGACTAATTACCATTATAATGATTCTTCAGCTTTATTAAACTTCTGTCTTCTGCAAAATCAAATGAGATTCATGAAGACTTTTTCATTAATCATCACAGCATCCCTGCTGAGAGCTTAAAAGAGGTAGGTGTATTCTTATTTTAGAAATGAAGAAGGTGCAACAAAATGAAGCTCTAGGAAGGTTAACCAGTATCACAAAGCTGGTCTGCTAGAATGAAGGAAAGAGGCAATATGTGTGTGTGTGTGTGTGTGTGTGAGAGAGAGAGAGAGAGAGAGAGAATTTTTCTGGGAAAAAGGGAAGGAGAGTCATCAATTTTTTTCTTTTCTGTTCCAATGTTATATGGCAATCATTTAAATGTCTCAACATACTAAAAGTTTCCAGAAGCAACAAACTTCTGGTATAATCAGAGGCTATGAGCTGTGCCCTAAGAAAAATATTGCAAAGAGATTTAACGTCTATCAGAATCAAATTTGTTTTCCTTCTTTCTAGCTACGTGTCCTTGGACAAGACACTGACCCTCATGCATTGATAGGCGTAAGTTTCAAAGCTTCATTAGATAGATTAAATGAAAAGACATGTAGCACATGTGTATAATAAGTTGTTCATAATAGGTACCCAATAAATGGCAATGGTTGTTATCATAAATTTTGTGATCTTAGGAATTTTAACATGCTAGTTGAAATAAAAAAGATAAAGCCTTCTTTATTTGTACCTAGTGACTTTCAGAAATAGCAGCATTAATTAATAGTTAACTGATTGGCACAATAGGGTGACTATAGTCAATAATAACTTAACTGTACATTTTAAAACAACTTAAATAGTGTAATTGGATTGTTTGGAACTCAAAGGATAAATGCCTGAGGGAATGGATACCCCATTCTCCATGATGTGCTTATTTCATATTGCATGCCTGTATCAAAACATCTCATGTACCCCATAAATATATAAACCTATGTATAGATGTATACACATAGGTGTATATATATATATACATAGATGTATGGTGTACAGGTGTATATCACAAAAATTTAAAAAAATTTAAAAATAGCTGGTTTGTATGTTATTAACTGCAGCTGAGTTTTTACGTTAAGATCTAGCCTGTGTGAACTTGAACAAGTAAGTTAATGTCTGTGGGCATTTGTATACTCATCTGTAAGGCAACAGAGCAGATGGTCTCTAAGAATGTTTGCATCGGACATCTGAGTTGTATGGAAATAGAAAAAGCCATTATTTGTGACCATTTGCCCTCTAGTGGCAAGAACCAGGGAAAACTATTTCTACTGAGAAAAAATTTCATGTCTGTATCCCCACCAAAACCTGATATATTGATAAATTCTTAGATTTGCTTCAATATTGTGTTAGTTATGTTTGTCTGTGTAAAAATTATCCCCCAAATTAGCAACTTAAACATTTACACAGTGTCTGAGGGTCAGGAATTTGTGAGCAGCTCAGCTGGGAGCTTGCAGCTCAAGGTCTCCCAGGAGGCTGCAATTAGGTCGGGCTGCAGCCATCAGACAGCTTGACTAAACTACATGAGCTGCCTCCAAGTTCTCTCATGTGGCTGTTGACAGGTTTCAGTTCCTTACCACAGGGACCTCTCCACAGGGCTGCTCACAACACGACAGCTGGCTTTCCCCAGAATGAGTGATCCCAGAGAGACAGAGAGAGAGAAAGAGCTAGAGAGAGAATGCAACAAAGATGGAAGGCACAATGTCTTTTATAAACAAATTTCAAAAGTTATTTACTGTGGTAGAATGAACTAGCATTACATGGATTCGAGATGAATATATCTAAAAACAATATATTCCACATAAAAAGCAAGTTTCATAAGTACATGCACATTATATATATAATTTTGTATATATATAATATACCTATACATTATATGAATGTAACTAATGTAAAATAGTTATATAATAATTACATACATGTTTATTAAGTATAATGTACAATGTGTCATATAAAATATGAAAAGCCTACTTTATCTTGTTTAAAGATTGTATGTGTGTGTGTGTGTGTGTGTAGTAGCCATAAAAACAAAAATATGCATGGAACTGATAAATACTGATAAAACTAAACATAAGTGGTCACCTGGGACTTTTGATATAACTCTTCAGAAAAAGAAGCTCTTCTTCTGTTAAGAATGTACATCCTAGAATTGCTGATAGACACAGAAGGGGGACAGAGAGAAAGAGAGAGAGAACATGTCAGTGATTGAGGGAGGGCATTACTGTCTTGATGACACTGTTGAGTTCCTAGATGCAGTATCCAGGTTATGGGACTATAAATCCTCTTTTTTACATAAGTTACTTTGAGTTTCTATGACTTTCCGTCAAAGGAGTCTTGAGAAGTATAGTTCTATGCAACTATTTAATCATACTGAAATCATAATTGTAGAAGAAGGCATATGCTTATTTATTAAAGGTAAAGAGTGCTTCCATCCCCTCTACCTCCCCTGGGCAACTCTAAGAGCAGGACACTCTAGTGCTTAAAAGATCAGATTCAGGCTTCTGAGACACTCCTCTCATGTTGCTTTAAGGCAAGGCCCCCTAAACTGGTAGCCTGATCCTCTAGGGATTCTATGGAAGAGTGCTATTATGTCTATGCAAACATGTGCTCTTCTGGGGAAAGAGTCTGTATTTCATCACATAGTAAAGGGAATGGTAAACAAAAAGAGGTTAAAATCACTGTTGGATGATAAAAAGTATTATGTTAAAGCCTGCATTTACACACCTCCCAGTGTCAGGTAGCTAGACTTTTTAATTAGAGAATTTGAAATTATGAAGTAGCAATGCCACCATCTTATTAACATCATGAAATCATTTTTAAAAATATAAATGTATTAAATGTTTAAAATATTTCACTTAAAAAGTTCATTTTATTATGGGCCATCTGCAGTTACTGCCACCTAAAGGATGGGAAAGGCATATAGCTTCAACAAATGACTAAAGATTTGCTTTCCAGAAAAGTTCAAGTGTTCTTTCAGTGTTATGTTTACAAATAAAAGACTGTCGTTTGCTTTTTCTATTAGCATAAAATAATTCTCAGTAGTATCAATACATTTCACATGCCACTGATTAAATCCTGAATATTCATGCATGCAATAAAAAGCCTTCCGTTGCTATGGTGGAACCTAATACCATGGAATGTATTCCAGCTTCCTTTAGGGGGAAGAACGTTCAAACTGAAAATTATATCAAAGCTGGTCCTTATCAATGAGAACAATCACAAAGAGAAAGAGGGAAGATTGCATGTAAATTATAGGAGAGGCTAGATTCCCAATGAAAATATGAATGTTTTATTGGCTTGGGGCCTGAAGAGACTAATATTCAAGCCGTAATGAGTGTCTTTCAACCCAAAGGGTCCACTGTATGTACAAATCCCAGTGTTTTTTCAGGTCATGAGGCAACAGAATTCCACAATGATATGGTTGAGGAAAATGGAGACCTGTCCACAGAGGAGCCCAGCATCATAATGAACAGCCATCTGGAATCTTTGGCTTTGGTACCAAACTAATACTGCCCTAGGTAGGTTAAATTTAAAAAAAAAAAAAAAAAGGTGGGGGAAATAACTCTGCTTTCATGGCATGCTTGGTTAGGCACTTACTGGCCCTTTAAAGTAGAATAACAGCAACTCAGAATACCTTTAGGCCAGAGCGTCTTATCCTTGGCACTATTGATATTTTGGGTTCAATAATTCTTTCTTGTTGGGGGGCTGCAAATTCTCAGGGCCTACTATACTACTATAAAGTGAGAGTGGGGCCACCCCTCCATGTGATTCTGAGGCTGGTTAAAGTTTGAAAAACAGTAATCTAACCCAACTCTCTCATTTTACAATAAAAGAAACCAGTTGGTTAAGTCTTATCTAAGATTAAATGTCTGGTTAGAGTCAAAACAGTACATTATACCTTATTCTCCACAGAATTTGCGAAGTGTGGCCTTGGAGAAAGAGGTGGGTATCCTGCAAAGATGTTTCACCCAGGCACCAACTACATGAAACATCCTGCTGCACAGCAGAAAGCATTTCAAGACTTGCTGAATATGTTTCGTAAATCTTGTCTCTGTCCTAGATTCCCAGGGTTCTTGGGTTACATGCAGAACAATTCACTTTTATCAACACTTTATTTTTCTAAAGATAGGTTAATAATATAATAATTTTATGACTGATAATGTATAATTAGTTTACAGCTAGGGTACATTTTTTGTGTGTGCTTGACTAGATACCTATTTCATCATGAAATCACTTGGAGTTAGAAGAGGGCTTACTTTTACAGCCACAGGTATCATTACTGTTATTGAGTTGTTAGATATACTGATTTAGAATTTTAAACTTTTCCATGAAGTTGACTGGAATGAAAAGCAGCTAATGTATGTTAGAAAATAAAAATGTGGCTATGCAACCATAAAAAAGAATGAGATTACGAATTTTGAGGGAACATGGATGGAGCTGGAGGCTCCATCCTCCAGCTCCATCTGTTTTCTGTTCCTGCATTAGCAAACTAACACAGCAACAGAAAAACAAATACTGCATGTTCTCACTTGTAAGTGGGAGCTAAATAATGAGAACTCATATAAAGAAGGGAACAACAGACACTGGGGCCTACTCGAGGGTGGAGGGTGGGAGGAGAGAAGCAGCAAAAATAACTATATTGGGTACTAGGTTTAGTATCTGGGTGATGAAATAATCTGTACAACAAACCCCCGTGACAGGAGTTTATCTATATAACAAGTCAGCATATGTATCCCTGAACCTAAAATAAGATTTAAAAAAAAGAAAATAGGGAGTATAGCCAAGATGGCCGATTGGGAACAGCTCCAGTCTACAGATCCCAGCGTGAGCGATGCAGAAGACGAATGATTTCTGCATTTCCAACTGAGGTACCAGGTTCATCTCATGGGGGATTGTCAGACAGTGGGTGCAGGACAGTGGGTGCAGCGCACCAAGCATGAGCTGAAGCAGGGCGAGGCATTGCTTCACCCAGGAAGTGCAAGGGGTCAGGGAATTCCTTTTCCTGGCCAAAGAAAGGGGTGACGGACGGCACCTGGAAAATTGGGTCACTCCCACCCTAATACTGCGCTTTTCCGACAGTCTTAGCAGACGGCACACCAGGAGATTAGATCCCGAGTCTGGCTCGGAGGGTCCTACGCCCACAGAGCCTCACTCATTGCTAGCACAGCAGTCTGGAATCAAACTGCAAGGTGGCAGCAAGGCTGGGGGAGGGGTGCCCACCATTGCTGAGGCTTGAATAGGTAAACAAAGCAGCCAGGAAGCTCGAACTGGGTGGATCCCACCTCAGCTCAAGGAGGCCTGCCTGCCTCTGTAGACTCCACCTCTGGGGACGGGGCATAGCCAAACAAAAGGCAGCAGAAACCTCTGCAGACTTAAATGTCCCTGTCTGACAGCTTTGAAGAGAGTAGTGGTTCTCCCAGCACGCAGCTGGAGATCTGAGATCAGACAGACTGCCTCCTCAAGTGGGTCACTGACCCCCGAGTACCCTAACTGGGAAGCACCCCCCAGTGGGAGCAGACTGACACCCCACACGGCTGGGTACTCCTCTGAGACAAAACTTCTAGAGGAACGATCAGGCAGCAACATTTGCTGTTCACCAATATTCACTGTTCTGCAGCATCCGCTGCTGATACCCAGGCAAACAGGGTCTGGAGTGCACCTCCAGCAAACTCCAACAGACCTGCAGCTGAGGGTCCTGACTGTTAGAAGGAAAACTAACAAACAGAAAGGACATCCACACCAAAACCCCATCTGTATGTCACCATGATCAAAGACAAAAGGTAGATAAAACTGCAAAGATGGGAAAAAACAGAGCAGAAAAACTGAAAATTCTAAAAATCAGAGTGTGTCTCCTCCTCCAAAGGAATGCAGCTCCTCACCAGCAATGGAACAAAGCAGGACGGAGAATGACTTTGACAAGTTGAGAGAAGAAGGCTTCAGATGGTCAAACTTCTCTGAGCTAAAGGAGGAAGTTTGAACCCATGGCAAAGAAGTTAAAAACCTTGAAAAAAGATTAGACGAATGGCTAACTAGAATAACCAATGCAGAGAAGTCCTTAAAGGACCTGATGGAGTGGAAAACCACGGCATGAGAGCTATGTGATGAATGCACAAGCCTCAGTAGCCGATTCGATCAACTGGAAGAAAGGGTATCAGTGATGGATGATCAAATGAATGAAATGAAGTGAGAAGAGAAGTTTAGAGAAAAAATAATAAAAAGAAATGAACAAAGCCTCCAAGAAATATGGGACCATGTGAAAAGACCAAATCTACGTCTGATTGGTGTGCCTGAAAGTGACGGGGAGAATGGAACCAAGTTGGAAAACACTCTGCAGGATATTTTCCAGGAGAACTTCCCCAATCTAGCAAGGCAGGCCAACATTCAGATTCAGGAAATACAGAGAATGCCACAAAGATACTCCTCAAGAAGAGCAACTCCAAGACACATAATTGTCAGATTCACCAAAGTTGAAATGAAGGAAAAAATGTTAAGGGCAGCCAGAGAGAAAGGTACGGTTACCCACAAAGGGAAGCCCATCAGACTAACAGCTGATCTCTCAGAAGAAATTCTACAAGCCAGAAGAGAGTGGGGGCCAATATTCAACATTCTTAAAGAAAAGAGTTTTCAACCCAGAATTTCATATCCAGCCAAACTAAGCTTCATAAGTGAAGGAGAAATAAAATCCTTTACAGACAAGCAAATGCTGAGAGATTTTGTCACCAGCAGGCCTGCCTTAAAAGAGCTCCTGAAGGAAGCACTAAACATGGAAAGGAACAACTGGTACCAGCCACTGCAAAAACATGCCAAATTGTAAAGACCATCAAGGCTAGGAAGAAGCTGCATCAACTAACAAGCAAAATACCCAGCTAACATCATAATGACAGGATCAAATTCACACATAACAATATTAACCTTAAATGTAAATGGGCTAAATTCTCCAATTAAAAGACACAGACTGGCAAATTGGATAAAGAGTCAAGACCCATCAGTGTGCTGTATTCAGGAAACCCATCTCACATGCAGAAACACACATAGGCTCAAAATAAAGGGATGGAGGAAGACCTACCAAGCAAATGGAAAACAAAAAAAGGCAGGGGCTGCAATCCTAGTCTCTGATAAAACAGACATTAAACCAACAAAGATAAAAAGAGACAAAGAAGGCCATTACATAATGGTAAAGAGATCAATTCAACAAGAAGAGCTAACTATCCTAAATATATATGCACCCAATACAGGAGCACCCAGATTCATAAAGCAAGTCCTTAGAGACCTACAAAGAGACCAAACTCCCACGCAATAATAATGGGAGACTTTAACACCACACTGTCAACATTAGACAGATCAACAAGACAGAAAGTTAACAAGGATATCCAGGAACAGAACTCAGCTCTGCACCAAGTGGACCTAATAGACATCTACAGAACTCTCCACCCCAAATCAACAGAATATACATTCTTCTCAGCACCACACTACGCCTATTCCAAAACTAACCACATAGTTGGAAGTAAAGCACTCCTCAGCAAATGTAAAAGAACAGAAATTATAACAAACTGTCTCTCAGACCACAGTGCAATCAAACTAGAACTCAGGATTAAGAAACTCACTCAAAACCGCTCAACTACATGGAAACTGAACAACCTGCTCCTGAATGACTACTGGGTACATAACGAAATGAAGGCAGAAATAAAGATGTTCTTTGAAACCAACAAGAATAAAGACACAACATACCAGAATCTCTGGGACACATTTAAAGCAGTGTGTAGGGGGAAATTTATAGCACTAAATGCCCACAAGAGAAAGCAGAAAAGATCTAAAATTGACACCCTAACATCACAATGAAAAGAACTAGAGAAACAAGAGCAAACACATTCAAAAGCTAGCAGAAGGCAAGAAATAACTAAGATCAGAGCAGAACTGAAGGAGATAGAGACACAAAAAAACCCTTCAAAAAATCAATGAATCCAGGAGCTGGTTTTTTGAAAAGATCAACAAAATTGATAGACCGCTAGCAAGACTAATAAAGAAGAAAAGAGAGAAGAATCAAATAGATGCAATAAAAAATGATAAAGGGGATATCACCACCGATCCCACAGAAATACAACCTATCATCAGAGAATACTATAAACACCTCTACACAAATAAACTAGAAAATCTAGAAGAAATGGATAAATTCCTCGATACATAGACCCTCCCAAGACTAAACCAGGAAGAAGGTGAATCCCTGAATGGACCAATAACAGGCTCTGAAATTGAGGCAATAATTAATAGCTTACCAACCAAAAAAAGTCCAGGACCAGATGGATTCACAGCCGAATTCTACCAGAGGTACAAGCAGGAACTGGTACCATTCCTTCTGAAACTATTCCAATCAATAGAAAAAGAGGGAATCCTCCCTAACTCATTTTATGAGGCCAGCATCATCCTGGTACCAAAGCCTCGCAGAGAAACAACAAAAAAAGAGAATTTTAGACCAATATCCCTGATGAACATTGATGCAAAAATCCTCAATAAAATACTGGCAAACCAAATCCAGTGGCACATCAAAAAGCTTATCCACCATGATCAAGTGGGCTTCATCCCTGGGATGCAAGGCTGGTTTAACATACGCAAATCAATAAACGTAATCCAGCATGTAAACAGAACCAACGACAAAAACCACATGATTATCTCAACAGATGCAGAAAATCCCTTTGACAAAATTCAACAACCTTCATGCTAAAAACTCTCAATAAATTAGGTATTCATGGGACGTATCTCAAAATAATAAGAGCTTTCTATGACAAACCCACAGCCAATATCATACTGAATGGGCAAAAACTGGAAGCATTCCCTTTGAAAACTGGCACAAGACAGGGATGCCCTCTCTCACCACTACTATTCAACATAGTGTTGGAAGTTCTGGCCAGGGCAATCAGGCAGGAGAAGGAAATAAAGGGTATTCAATTAGGAAAATAAGAAGTCAAACTGTCCCTGTTTGCAGATGACATGACTGTATATTTAGAAAACCCCATCATCTCAGCCCAAAATCTCCTTAAGCTGATAAGCAACTTCAGCAAAGTCTCAGCATACAAAATCAATGTGCAAAAATCACAAGCATTCTTATACACCAATAACAGACAAACAGAGAGCCAAATCTTGAGTGAACTCCCATTCACAATTGCTTCAAAGAGAATAAAATACCTAGGAATCCAACTTACAAGGGATGTGAAGGACCTCTTCAAGGAGAACTACAAACCACTGCTCAATGAAATAAAAAAGGATACAAACAAACGGAAGAACATTCCATGCTCACAGGTAGGAAGAATCAATATCGTGAAAATGTCCATACTGCCCAAGGTAATTTATAGATTCAATGCCATCCCCATCAAGCTACCAATGACTTTCTTCACAGAATTGGAAAAAACTGCTTTAAAGTTCACATGGAACCAAAAAAGAGCCCACATCGCCAAGTCAATCCTAAGCCAAAAGAACAAAGCTGGAGGCATCACGCTACCTGACTTCAAACTATACTGCAAGACTACAGTAACCAAAACAGCATGGTACCAGTACCAAAACAGAGATATAGATCAATGGAACAGAACAGAGCCCTCAGAAATAATGCCACATATCTACAACTATCTGATCTTTGACAAACCTGAGAAAAACAAGCAATGGGGAAAGGATTCCCTATTTAATAAATGGTGCTGGGAAAACTGGCTAGCCATATGTAGAAAGCTGAAACTGGATCCCTTCCTTACATCTTATACAAAAATTAATTCAAGATGGATTAAAGACTTAAATGTTAGACCTAAAACCATAAAAACCCTAGAAGAAAACCTAGGCAATAGCATTCAGGACATAGGCATGGGCAAGGACTTCATGTCTAAAACACCAAAAGCAATGGCAACAAAAGCCAAAATTGAGAGATGGGATCTAATTAAACTAAAGAGCTTCTGCACAGCCAAAGAAACTACCATCAGAGTGAACAGGCAACCTACAGAATGGGAGAAAATTTTTGCAATCTACTCATCTGACAAAGGGCTAATATCCAGAATCTACAATGAACTCCAACAAATTTACAAGAAAAAAACAAACAACCCCATCAAAAAGCGGGCGAAGGATATGAACAGACACTTCTCAAAAGAAGACATTTATGCAGCCAAAAGACACATGAAAAAATGCTCATCATCACTGACCATCAGAGAAATGCAAATGAAAACCACAGTGAGATACCATCTCACACCAGTTAGAATGGCGATCATTAAAAAGTCAGGAAACAACAGGTGCTGGAGAGGATGTGGAGAAATAGGAACACTTTTACACTGCTGGTGGGACTGTAAACTAGTTCAACCATTGTGGAAATCAGTGTGGCGATTCCTCAGGGATCTAGAACTAGAATTACTATTTGACCCAGCCATCCCATTACTGGGTATATACCCAAAGGATTATAAATCATGCTGCTATAAAGACACATGCACACGTATGTTTATTGCAGCACTATTGACAATAGCAAAGACTTGGAACCAGCCCAAATGTCCAACAATGATAGACTGGATTAAGAAAATGTGGCACATATACACCATGGAATACTATGCAGCCATAAAAAATGATGAGTTCATGTCCTTTGTAGGGACATGGATGAAGCTGGAAACCATCATTCTCAGCAAACTGTCGCAAAGACAAAAAACCAAACACCACATGTCCTCACTCATAGGTGGGAATTGAACAATGAGAACACATGGACACAGGAAGGGGAACATGACACATCAGGGCCTGTTGTGGGGTGGGGGAAGGGGGGAGGGATAGCATTAGGAGAGATACCTAATGTTTAAATGGCGAGTTAATGGGTGCAGCACACCAACATGGTACATGTATACATATGCAACAAACCTGCACATTGTACACATGTACCCTGAAACTTAAAGTATAATAAAAAAAGAAAATAAAAATGTGTCAACGTTATGTACTTGAGAAATCCTATCTAGATTATTAAAAAAGAAAATAAAGTTAGCAAGAAAGTAGATTACTGTGCAAAATTAATTTTTATCTCTGATAAATCAGTGTAGAAATGTTAAATAAAAATAAACCACATTTATTTGCCATTTTCCTGTTTGCTTTAATAAGAGATAATACACTCTCCAAAGACATTGTTAAATCTCATCCTTACTCTTTCTTTCCCCTCTACCCTCTGGTTACCGTGAGAATTAAGGTCTTTAATTCCAAAGGAGAGTTGTTGTGAGGACAATCTGTGCTTTCCCTGGGAAAATGAATAAGCAGGGTAAGAACAAGTAGAGCAGATTTCTCACAGGAAGATGATTGTGGCTGCATGTGGGTCTAGATTGCTTAAGAGGCTAAAGAGGAGAGAAGTCACAATCAAAAAGGGCATGCCTATAATCCCAGCACTTTAGAAAGCTGAGGTGGGTGGATCATCTCAGTTCAGGAGTTCAAGACCAGCCTGGCCAACATGGCAAAACCCCATCTCTACTAAAAATGCAAAAATTAGCCGGGCATGGTGGCAGGCGCCTGTAGTCCAGCTACTTGGGAGGGTGAGGCAGGAGAATTGCTTGAACCCAGGAGGTAGAGTTTGCAGTGAGCTGAGATGGCACCACTGCCCTCCAGCATTGGCAACAGAGCGAGACTCTGTCTCCAAAAGAAAAAGAAAGGCCTGCCTGTGGCTGTGACCCAAGGGCTTTCCAATCTAGATTCTAGATTTGTGCCAAGAAACCCTTTAGAGATGTCCATTTTTCTTTCCCCTTTTAGTGTCATTTAAGTACATATTCTATTTGCTTATTTATTTACATATTTATGTTCAGATTTCCTAGGATGTTAAAGAAAAATGATGTATATTGTGATTGATTTACAACTGTATTGCCATTTAATTGCCATACTTTGAAATGTCTCTATACTGAGAGGTAACATAGTCAACATTTAGATGACCATCTTTTCATACAGAAACACACAAACACACACACACACACACATACAGTTGTATGTAAATAGTATCATTTTATACATGCTATTTTATCATGGACATCTTCTTCTGTCTTTTTGCCTAGTTTCATCTTCTTTTCTAATCATCTTCATCTCTAAGTTAGCCAGTCTTAAAATCTTAATGTGTATCTGTCCCAATTTTTTTATTGTACAATCACATACAAACTCATGTATTCATATATTATATTCAGCACATAGAATATAACCAAGTATTTAGAACAGTGTCTTGAATGTCATAGATGCTCAGTAAATATTTGTTGAATAAATGAATGGTTTGCCTTAGAAAAATGAGATCATATTATATATACGTGTGTGTATGTGTATGTTTATATTACATATCTGGCTTTTATTGCTCAATATTCTATGTATTTTTTCATATAGATTTAATTCTTATAAATGGTTGTATAATAGCCCATGGTTATGAAAGTAATATCAATTTATTTAACTAGATCCCTAATTGATAGTTTAAATGCTTTTACTTTTTGCCAGTATAAACAATAATAGCTAACACCTATTAAGTGTTTATCATGTGCTAAGTTTTTTTTTTTTTTTTTTTGCGCTTTACATGTATTAAGCTACTGAGGGGTTAGGTTATTCTCCCCATTTTAGAAAACTGAGCAGGAGTAGGTAAGAAACGCCCCAGGCTATATAGCCAATAGGTGGCAAACTAGTCAGTATGGCTCCAAAGTATATTTCACTAAACTACTTTTATAGAAGGTAGTAATCAACACTATTGTAGAAACATTCTAATTGAATGGTCCTTTATTTCTATTCAATAGTTTATCTGGTGTGGAATTACTGCAGAACCATATGTGTGTATTTTATATTGCTAAATTGCTCTGCAAAAAGGCAGTAACAGTTTACATTTGCACTAGCCATGTATGAGACTATTCTTTCCTCTAGCAGTATTTTTTTTAAATGTATGTTTTTTATTTCTTTTCTTTTTTTTCAATCTGGTGGGTGAGAAGTGATATTTCATTGTTAAGTCTGTATACTTTGTTGACAGTAGTGAGGTTGAACATCATATGTTCGTCAGTCATTTGGATTAGCTCTACTATAAATTGTTGTATTAGGGCTCTCCAGAGAAACAAAACCAATGTGTGTGTGTGTGTGTGTGTGTGTGTGTGTGTGTGTGTAATTTATTTTTATTTATTTTAAAAAATTGGTTCACATGATTATGGAGGCTGGCGAGTCCAAAATCTGCACGGTAGGCTGGCAGGCTGGAGACAAAGACAAGACAATGCTGCAATTCAAGTACAAGGGACTTCTGCTGCACAATTCTTCTTTCTCAGGGGAGGTCAATGTTTTTGTTCTATTCAGGTCTTCAACTGATTGGATGAGGACCACCCACAGTATATAGAGGACAATCTACCTTACTCAAAGTTCACTGATTTAAATGTTAATCTCATCTAAAAGTACTCTCACAGAAACATCCATAATAATGTAGGCCCAAATATCGGGACAATATTACCCAGTCAAGTTAACACTTAAAATTAACCATCACAAATATCTACTAATATATTTTCCGTTTTTCTTTTCTTTTTTTGAGATGGAGTCTTGCTCTGTCACCCAGGCTGGAGTGCAGTGGCATGATCTCGGCTCACTGCAACATCTGCTTCTTGGATTCAAGCGATTCTCCTGCCTCAGCCTCCCTAGTAGCTGGGACTACAGGTGCGTGCCACCATGCCCCGCTAATTTTTTGAATTTTTAATAGAGACGGGGTTTCACCGTGTTAGCCAGAATGGCCTCAATCTCCTGAACTCGTGATCCGCCCGCCTCGGCCTCCCAAAGTGCTGGGATTACAGGCGTAAGCCACTGCCCTCGGGCTTTCCTCATTTTTTGATTGAATTGCTTACATCTTTTTATCGCCTTGAATATTATTGTAATCAACCCATTAAATGTTTTGCGAATATTTTGCCCTCTTTTATATCCTTTATTTTTTTACCCTATTTCTCATCATTTTAAATTTTAAATTATTATTTTGAATACTTTATAATCAGTGAATCATTGAAATTGAGATGAAAATTTGGACACTGTCATTTTGATAATCACTTTTGAGTTTATAGTCTTCTAAGGTGATTTTAGGAGATTTTTCAATATTTATTTTCAATATGTATTCAATAAATATTTATAATTTTTAGTCATTATTCAATATTTATTTAAAATCAAATTGTTCTTTCAATTCTAATGAATTTTTGGAAGATGTTGAAATTAGATCTGCTCTTTTCCAAAGTAAGGAATCTAGAGCAAATAGTTCCCACATGTGGAAACTATTGTTAAGAGGTTTTAAAAGTTTAAACTACTCATATGTAATATTGGTTACAATGTTTAATTCTTAGAAGAACTAGTCGAATTAATTTCGGAATTTGTTTATTCCATACCACGTTTATTTTAAAATTTTTCTTCAAAATTGCTTAAAACATAGTCTAAGCAAATTGTTGAAACGTTGTTCTCATTCAATTTGACTGTCAATTTTAATTTTTAGTAAGTATATATATATGTGCTATTCCTGCTTGTCAAGCCAAAATATGAAAATTCAGTTAATGAGTAACAATATTTAAGCATCAGAGTCTGTTTTAAAACTGAAAAAAAAATGTATGTGTACTAAGGAAAAGCTTCAGCCTCTCAGTCTCATGCAATTTTCTATTCATTTAATTTTTATACATTACTTCTTATAACTACTAGCATCAAATTAGTATCTTGCTATATTTTATCTCATATTATCACAGAGGAAAAAGTACTGTATAATTATATATACCCTTCAGTATATGATTAATAGTCATTATAATTAATATTTTTAAATTAATTTGTGATTTTTGTTGCAGGATTCATTTTTTAGTAAAAGCTTTTATATCCTATATGTAAGATAACTCCCTATTCCTGTGATATAACTTGTGTTAGATTATGGGTTCTGGAAGGCAAGTAACAGACTTAAAAAAATTCACTTAACTTCCAATCATATATTGTTTTTATATTGTATATTCAGTTGGTGGACAACATGAGGGCTTTTGAGTTAGGGAAGGGAAAGAATCACTTAATACTGAAATAACTTATTGTAGGAGCCTGATGAATCTTTTCCTTTGGAAAGCAGACAGTTTTAGTGTGGTGTCATCTATAATAGGAGGTCTTGAGGACGTTAGAGAATCTTAGAACTCAATTATTATCCATGTTTTTACACCCCTTTCAGTAATGATTTGGAAAAAGATGTAAAAATTTCAAAAAGGGACAGGTGAACTGTGGGCTCTGCATAGTATGGTAATTAAAAGGTTGGGTTTTACAAACAGACTCAATAGTGCCAAGAAAAGGATGGGTGGGTTTTCGTTTTCCCATCTCCATCATATTCTCAATATTCCTCAAATAATAGCAATACTAAGATTAAAAATATACACGTAAATGGGAAGAAAAGCCTATGTAGAAAATTTTGCTATAAAATAAAGGGCTTTAACACAAATATTATTTCTAGACTATTCCCTCCCCTTAATCCCTATCAGCCCTCTAACACATTTGAAGCTCCTAATGAATAGTAGCCCCCTGAAGCTGCTAGGTCAAACTGCCTGAACTTGAAGACGGGCCTTCCACTTATTAGTGATTGAGTTACTTAAAATAAGAATGATAAAAACCTGCTTCATGAGGTGTACTCCTCACTTTATAACTTTCACCTGCTGCTATCTGTTCTATTTTAGGAATTTATCATTTTTTGAGGAAATTAAAAGAACAGAGATAAAATCCCTGTCATTTATAAAACTCACAGGATAAAAACAAAAAACCCCTCTGTCGTGGGTTCTTCTGTCCATATGTAACAATCTGTTTCATACCTGGATCTCATATATGAAAACCTAAATTATTGTATAAGATACACGAGAGTGGATTTATCAGACAAACGTGTATTTCACTAATGCAAGGAATTTAACCTATCAAAGACTTTCCCTATTTGCTGCAGAAAATTTTAGAAATGCAAGCAATAAAATCAAAATTTAAAAAAATCTTATATTTGGCATGTCGAAGAACTCTTATACTTCCAAAAGTGTAGTTATTTGTAGTTAGTGATGAACCTCTCTACACATCTTAGCCCTATGTAATGTTGGGGGTAGAAAAGGAGTTTAGAGATTTTGAGAAATCTTAGGCTAGTTGAAATACTTCAGAAACGTCAGGATGTTGAATTACCATCCCTCTGACTTAGAGAAATACCAACACTCGGGAAGATTACCATCAGAAACAACTTTGAAAAGTTTAATTTTGTCACTGTTTTTAAAATTAGAAATAATGTAAATAAAGTACTGAAACAAAGTAGTCTCACAATAAATAGTAGCTATTCCTGTCACTTGTTGCAGTGGAGGCCCAATATACATTGTATTCTCATATTTGTACTTCCTCCCAACATCTAGCGCATATTTGGCCAACATATAAATATTTATCGAAAGAATGAATGACATCAATGACAGGTTGGTAGCACTCCGCTGTCCGATGGTCCAGGTTAGGCCGTGAGGCCACGAGGAAACTACGGATAAAACAGTATCCAATTTGCCTATACCGCCTGCTAAACTACAAGTCCCAGTACGCAAACTCCATGGTTTCAGGGCATACTGGGAGAAAGTCTCCGGCTCTTCATTGGCCACGTAGGAGAAGCTGTGGTTTGTGTAAAAGCGCGGGCTTAACGCACGTACGCACGGAGACTGCGCAGATCTCCTCGTCTGAGTTCCGCGGAACTCATTTTGAGTGTAGGCGTTTTAGCCGGTAGGGTTTAAGAACAGTTTCATTTCCGGAGCCACCGGAAGCAGCTTGCAAATGGCGTCTCCCTCGCTGGAGCGGCCAGAAAAAGGCGCTGGAAAAAGTGAATTTCGTAACCAGAAGCCGAAGCCGGAGAACCAAGGTGATGTTATGTGGGAACCGAAGCCTGGGGTTTGTGTACGTTGAGTTGCGATGTTTTTTTCTTTCGTTCCTCGTGGACTTATAAAACCACCTGGAGCCTGTACTGTGTAGTTGAGTACCTGAATAATCGCTGATAAGATTTTGGCTGGGCCCACAGGAACGGCTGGCCGATATGGTGCCACCCAGGTGTTCCTAATTCATTGCTTTTGCTAAAGGGTCCCCAAAGCGAAGCTGTTGCGGATTACGTCTTTTGTAAAAGGATGAGTATTAAGAAAATGCCTAGGGCGACGCAGAACCTTGTAAGCCTGCGGGTGGCTGAAAGTCACTGACGGAATGAGGAATAGGGTGAGGTGGGAATAGGTAGTCATGATATACAAGAGTGGACCCTGATAATGGGGTGAGGTATGGGGAAAGGAGCTATCCGACATGTCCTTAGCTCTAGTTTGTCAGTAAAGACATTTTGAAAGATTATCAATTCCTGTTTGTCAGATGCTAAAATATTAGACGACACAGCCCTTACTGTTTAGGTTGTGTTACCTTTTAATTGTTAACTCCTGCGTTGTAGTCTGGTTTTACCCGTTTTCTTCAGTGTGAATGATAGAGAAGTCATAAATAGCCTGGGGATCTGTTCAACCAGGCTTATAGGAAGTGTTAAAAACATTGAACTCTCAATTTAGATGCATTGGGAAAGTATTCAAAGTTTCTTTGTTGTTGCTCATTAAATGATTATGTAACGTACATAGCAGGGGATACAACTTATATAGAGTTTAATAAAACCATGCGGGAAACTAGCATTCAGACTAAGTAAAATAGAGCATTACCATACCCCTCAAACCCTTACGTGCACCTCTCAGATCATATTCTCTTTTCCTGTATCAGACGTAACCACCCTGAATTGTGTTGCATTCTGTTCCTCTTCTTGTAGTCATGAAGTGGCTTAATTTAGCCTGTTTTTTAATTTTATATACATGAAAGTGGACCGTATGCATTTTTCTGTGTCTTCTTAGATTTAGCTTTTTGTTTTTCAAACAGGGTGATACTTGCGGGTGTAGTTTTAGTCTTTTCACTGTTATGTGGTGTTTCCTTGTATGAATATACCCCAAT
The DNA here is from genome assembly GCF_000001405.40 of Homo sapiens. Classification (NCBI taxonomy): domain Eukaryota; kingdom Metazoa; phylum Chordata; class Mammalia; order Primates; family Hominidae; genus Homo; species Homo sapiens. Next base: position 75,510,409 of record NC_000012.12, on the reverse strand, counting down.
TTATTTTTTCATTTTACTATCGGTGGACATTTGGATTGTTCCCAATTGCTTGCAATTATAAACAATACTGCTAAAACATCTTTGTACATGTCTTCTGGTTAACATGTTCAAGGGTTTCTCTAGGTTGTGAACATAGGATTGGAATCACTGAAGTGTAGGGTGTGTGTAAGTAATGCTAACTTTTTTCCAAAGTGCTAGTGTCAGTTTTGTTCCCACTAGGAGTGGACGAAAGTTGTCATTGCCTTACATTAGTATGAATACATGTTATCTGAATTTTGAATTTCTGTCATTTTGGTAGTTATGAAATGGTATTTGGTTGCAGTTTTAGTTTGCATTTTCTGATCACCTATGAGGTTGCATATCTTTTCACATGTTTTGAGGCTTCCTTAATTGTGAAACTCCTGAGTATTTCTTTTGTCAGTTTTTTTCCTGAGGTTGTAGTGGGGATTTTAAAAAAAATTATCCATAGCCTTTGAAGTGTTTAAATTGGATAGGGACTTCGTCAGGTAAACATTGTAAGTAACTAGTTGCAGTGACTCACACCTGTAATCCCAGCACTTTGGCAAGCTGAGGAGGGGGGATTGCTTGAGCCCAGGAGACCAGTCTGGTCAACATGGCAAAACCCTTTCGCTACAAAAAAAAAAAAAAAATTAGCCGGACATGATGGCACATGCCTGTAGTACCAGCTACTTGTGAGGCTGAGGCAAGAGAATAGATCGCTTGAGTCCAGGAGGTCCAGGCTGCAGTGAGCTGGGATGGAGCCATTGCACTCCAGCCTGGGTGACAGAGCGAGGCCCTGTCTTTAAAAAAAAAAAAAAAAAAAGAAATGTGTATAGTATATAAGTAATCACTTTTGTGGAATTCGTGTTCTTTAAAGGACATTGGAGAATCCTTTATATGAAGACTAGCCAATTGTCTGTGATTTGAACCAGAAATAGCAACGTGGATGTGAGTATAAGCAGAAAGTTTACCTGTCTGAGGCTGCTAACATAGGGTAATGACGTGTTTTTCAAACTTTACCGTGCTTAAGAGTCTCCTGTTGAGCATGGTAAAACACAGATTCTTGTCCCTCGTCGAAGAGATTCTCATTCAGTAGGTCTGTAGTGGGGCCCAATAATTGCATTTCTGACAGACTTACAGTTTGTGCTGATACTGCAAGTCTATGGATCATACCTTTGAGTATAACTGAATTAGAGTATAGCTATTGAAATTAAGGAGTTCTTCAAATTCAAGATCAAGAGTTTTTTAAATAAATGATTCAGAAGATAATTTACGGCCCTTAGGAGGCATTTTCTTGTAGTGAAAGGAGTCCCAGGCTGAGTGAGCTTTGTGTTCCCTTAGGCAAGTCACTTAACCTTTTTAGACCATCTTCTATAAAATGAGAATAATAATACAGATTCTACCTTTTATAGTTACGATGAAAGGCGTATGGAAATAAGGCACTCAAAATGCTTAGGAAAATCTAGAATTACCAGTGATTATTAACTGAAAGATAAACTAGAATTCTCTTTCAGAAGTTTTACACAAACACATACATCCAGATTCCATACACTCCAGGAAAGTCAGAAAGGTTAATTGTATTTAAAATACTAACCAAAATGGCATTCAAATCTTCAATTTTATGATAGTGTAGTGCAGTACATGTTTCTGGAGTACTCACTATCTGCCTGGCATATGCCAACTAGTGTGAAGAGGGTTTCTGCTCTTAAGGAACTTTGTCATATGAGGCAACTGAAATGTGTACAGATAATTTTAATACAGAGAATTGATGATAATGACAGAGGAACGTTCTTTGACTCTTGAATAATATAAAAAGCAGGGGAAAAGGAAATGCAAGGAGTATTGGAAGGTTTGTGAATATGTGCATAGGATGTTCATAAAGTGTCCAAAAGACAGTTAAAATGTGATGTGTATGTCCAAAAGACAGTTAAAATGTGATGTGTAAATTTTTTCCTTTCTGTAGATGAATCAGAACTCCTTACGGTTCCTGATGGTTGGAAGGAACCAGCTTTTTCCAAAGAGGACAATCCCAGAGGACTTTTGGAGGAGAGCAGTTTCGCAACTTTGTTCCCAAAATACAGGGAAGCTTACTTGAAAGAGTGTTGGCCATTGGTGCAGAAAGCCTTAAATGAACATGTATGTGTATCTTATATCAATACATTTATTTGAGACTTTGCTCTTGCTTATGCCTTTAAATGTATGTATGCTAATGCTTTTTTTTTTTTTTTAATGGTGCTAACATAGCTGGTTACTTTGGTTCCTTTGGTATTCTAAACTATTTAAGTAAGTTTTCTTCTTACCTAATGTTCATTTGTTTTAATTTTATGAGTAATAAATTACTTTGAAAAATTTACATACCTTTAATATTTTAGGAGCTTCACAACTGTCTGAAATTCACCTGTGAAGTCCCAATTTCAGTATGCCTGCTCCAGGCCATGATAGTTGTCATGTATCTGTCCCAGTCTGAGCTGAGTCATGTTTCTAATTGATTACCTTTCATCTTAAATGGAAGATGTGGATGTGTCCAACTTTTCCTTGTTTATTGCTGATGCTATGCCCCTAGATAACTGCATTTTTTTTTTCAAACTGGGGATTGAAACCCATTAGTGTATTGAGAAGTCAATTTAATGGCTATAATGAGCCTTTAGAAAATGACATATCACATGGTAAAAGTATCTTTTTTTGATATTGGCTTTGTTTGTGTGTGTGTGTATATGTATTAGGTTGTGATATAAAATGTGTTTCTAACTGTGGGACTGCTCTGGAGTTGGTTGTGCCATTGTGGGTGAAGGTGGCTCAGCAAGCTGCAGGTTGTGTTTTGTAGCTGCATCTGGGATTGAGCTCATTTTTTTTTTGTAAACTCATAGAGACTCAACCATATGTTGAATTGTTCAGCACTTAACTATGTTGAAATATTCTTGAGATTATGCTCACAAGTGAGAAAATAGCATTTTAATTCGCTTTGTTGAAATCTGTTTTTTCCTGTTGAAAGTTAATGCTTAAGTTTTCTAATCATTGCTTTTTTCTGAAACTATGATAATTTGCTTTTACTTTGTATTTAGTCCCCTAATTAGCTCGAAAAAAGTTTGAAAGGGAAAGTCAATTCTTACCCAATGGAGCAGATGGTAGACTGGAGCTGGGTCCAGAATAGGGAAGCTGTACAGCTTTACATTTTTACCTTAGTCAGATTTTAAGTATGACCTCATTTGTTTGATTTATAATTTTTAAATTAGAGGCAATCTATATTCCAGTGGGTACAAAGTATTCTAAAACCAAGGGTAAATGGTTTCAATTGCTCCAGTTTCTTATAGTCTGTAAAGTGTGAAAGTAATTGAGTATTCATTATTTATACTTAACTACCTAGCTTCTTCAGGGAAGTAATTGATAGGAATTGAGAGGTGACAGAAATTAATAGGTTGGTTAGGAGAGGCTTTATAATTATCTAAAAAAACTCATTTTTAGACAACTGCTTGTTTGCTCTTTCCTTCTGTAGCATGTTAATGCAACCCTGGACCTGATCGAAGGCAGCATGACTGTTTGTACTACAAAGAAGACTTTTGATCCATATATCATCATTAGGGCCAGAGATCTGATAAAACTGTTAGCAAGGAGTGTTTCATTTGAACAGGTAAATCTAGAATTACAGAGACTTTGCTTTGTTTGCATCAGTGTTAACCTATAACATCCCACCATCAAGTTTTCATATTTGTGCTTAGGTAACAATAGCGTGGGCCTGGAAAATGAATGTAATTGTAAAAAATGTTGATAATGTCTTCTTTTTTTTTTTTTTTTTGCAAAAGGCAGTACGAATTCTTCAGGATGATGTTGCATGTGACATCATTAAAATAGGTTCTTTAGTAAGGAATAAAGAGAGATTTGTAAAACGAAGACAACGGCTTATTGGTCCCAAAGGATCTACATTGAAGGTATTTTTTAATTAGTGGAAAACTTGAGTCTCTTCCTTAATACTTTTTCAGAGTAATGAATTTTAACTTGATCTCTTGATACAGGCATTGGAACTCTTAACTAATTGTTACATTATGGTTCAGGGAAACACAGTTTCAGCCATTGGACCTTTTAGTGGCTTAAAAGAGGTGAGAACTATGTATTATCTTCGATTCATTTTCAGCAGAGAACAAATAATTTGGTTATAATATAGTTTATTGGATAATGCTTTATAATTTTATTTCTTTAGAATGTGCTTTGATTTCCCATTAGTAAATACTTTTTATGTCATATAATTCAAGGGAATCATCATATCTGGACCCTAACATGTTTTGGCCAACCTTGGCAACTATGGAGACATCCATTTCTGAATTAGATGGTCTGCACACTATTACTCCTCCCACTATAAAATTTAAATGAGCATTAAGATCTTCAGTCTGTAGCATGTATGAACATGGTATAGTTACATATGTCCAAATGACGGGAAAATTGAGCAAAAATCCAGTTATTTGCAGTAGTGTATACAGCCAGTAGAGGTCACACTCTGAAAACTTTTCTTCAAGATGTAGTTTCTTTTGTTTGAATTTTAGTATAATGTTTAATAACTTTTCATGAACATTTTCTTTAACTTCTCAAATTACATGTGGTGAGGAAATCTGTGGAGCAAATGCTGTTTCTGTTAACTCCTTTTGGTACTATTACTGTCTGGATCTGGCTTGTGAGGTTGTGCTTCCTTTCCAGGGCCTTTAATAGTAATCCTATTGGCCTTTTTTGTCATAAATTGTCTGCTCTTTTCTCATGGAGCAATAATTAAGTATATTGAATACAATTCTTACAAGAGAGTCTTGAGGTATATGGTTTTATCTTATATTACAAATGAGAAAGCTGGAACAGGAAAGTGATTTTCCTGTATGCAGTGGCAGTCCTTGTATTCCAGCCCTCTTCCTCCTAAATCACATTGCTTTAGAGTGTTGTATTAGTTCTCTGTGCTACATTTTAGCAGTAATTGAGAAACTGTATTGTATTCAAGGGAGATTGACTGCCTTTATGAAAGATGGAGAAGCCACTCAGAGCAGTTGAAGGAACTACTTAATTATTTAATTACATTATTTAATTTGGTACCCATTACCTGATTTTTGCAGTATTAATCCTCTTCTCCATAGCTCATTAAAATCCTTGTGACTAATTCATTTTTCTTTGCAAATTTCAGGTTAGAAAAGTAGTCCTTGATACTATGAAGAATATTCATCCAATTTATAACATTAAAGTGAGTGGTAATTATATATAACTGTACCAGTGATTATCATACTTCTTTTAGCTACAGAAACCTTTCTTGAAATTAAATGTTTTATGAAATTCTAATGCACAAACAGATAAAGCAGAGCTATTTTGGGTAAATTAGGGGTAGACTTCAGCCTACTTAATTCTACCCCAGTTTTGTAGGTACTTCTTAGAAGCTCTCTGTGGAGCACAGTGTGAAAACTACTGAAGGGGATACTGTAATATGTTATATAGTTGTAATCAATGAAAGTAAGCTTCACAGAATCTGTTGTAGATCATATCAATCCAGTTTTCTTAGATTATGAACCCATGTATTTAAGGATATGATCTTTCGGAAATCTGCCTTTTTCTATTAAAATCTGGAACATCTCATGTTGCGTTAAAACCTTTTTATGAATTTAACACTCAAATTGTAGCTCCTTTGAGAGAGAACTGTTATATCCCTGTGTGCACAAAGTTTGATTATTCTTGGAAATGTAACCATGGTATATAGAACTATTTTATGATGGGTTTGTTGAGCAATCCACTTAAATTTGATGAACTTAAGTTATAAAGTCACTGTTAGATTGGGGGAAAGTGATTTTGAGTTACATTGGGATATTGGGATATTGCAGACAAAAACAAAACTATGTGTCTGATCCCTGGTTTGCATCCTCTGATGTTCCATGGTCTGAAATTTAAATGGAATAGGGAAATGTGAAAATACTGGTTTTCTGTAATCGTGAGAAAGTTTACTTTTGTCTTTTTCTGTGATATTTCAGTTGCTACTGAAAACTTCCTGCTTGCAGGGAACATCAGCTAATTAAGAGCCCTCCCTGCTTTTATAAGTGGCATTTTAAATGTTTTAATGAAATAATGGTTGAAAATTCAGTTTTATTTTTGTCTCATTTTAACAATTCTGCATTTTGTAATTAAATTTCTAATGGTTTTCTAATAATTATACATGTTTGTGATAACCTACCTTTTTGCTTATGTAATTGGTTTAATTTCACCAAAGAAACTAGGAACTGTTTCTTTTATTATTTATAGAAGCAATATTTATAATGTCTGAGTCTGACAAATGTGTGACTTTGGAAAGTAAAAATTTTTACTTTGTTGCATGACTAAAGAGCTTAATGATTAAGAGAGAGTTGGCAAAAGATTCTGAATTACGATCACAAAGTTGGGAGAGATTTTTGCCACAGTTCAAACACAAAAATGTGAATAAACGCAAGGAACCAAAGAAAAAAACTGTTAAGAAAGAATATACGCCATTCCCACCACCACAACCAGAAAGTCAGGTTAGTACTAAATGTAGAACTTCATATGAAGGAGAATCTATTTTAATGTATTTGGTCAGAAACTTTATTGAAAGTATTTCAGGTGGGATATGTGTATATATATATATTGTGTGTGTGTGTGCAGAGCTATAAGAAACTGAGGGTAAATATAAATAGGCATATTTTGAGCTGAGTGCATGGGGGTGTGCAGTGGGGCGTTCACATTGATTATAAACTGCATCCAGGAGGTTTGTGACCCTGTAGCCACTGTAAATGTTCCATGGATAAAAGTTCGTTTAGTCTGCAATACTCTTTTCTCTGATTTGGCAACATTATTGTGACTGTGTGCTCTATGGTTGTTCTTGTTCTGAAATCTTAAATTGTAAATTGTAACACCCACCGTTTTTCTAAGTTATGATTCCTTTTGTCAGGTGTCTTCTGCTTCATTTCCTTTCCCACCATGACCAGTTTCCATTTTGTTCTTGCACATCATTGTTTTGATTCATGCCCCTTTTTACTTCTGTCCCACCTTCTCAGCAAAGCTCTAAAACTTGGATCAGTCTAAAAACTTGACTTCTTCCTTGCAACGTGGCTACCAAATTAAGTTAGAGAAAGTTTTATCTTTGGATTAATTTCATTCAAAATTCATGTTTCCTCTTAATTCTCTCAGTGCCCTCCCATGTTTAGCATATGACATTGCATTTTATTGAAATATTTGAGACCACCAGATAAGAACCCCTTTCTGTTTCCTCTTCTCTCACGTATGGGTTTTCTTCCACCTGCATCAGCCTCTTCTATGTGTTCTTTGAATTCCATCTTCACCTGTCTCCTGGGGGTTCTTGCTTCATTATTCCCTTCCTTGGCTATATCCTAAAGCCTTCCCTTTCTACTTCTGCTCAGCATGTGAACTCATTGCTTTCTACATCTCTTTTTTCCACAACCATGGTTGGAGTCTTTCAGGGAAGATTTGTGATTGACGGGGAAAATGATGATCATAGTGAAAAAACAATGGAAGTTTTGGATCATGGAGGAAATTGATAGTAGTTAGGGGGAAAGTGGAGTGATGCAGTCATTAAACCATGCTTCCATAACACCTGCCTTATTTCTTATGGCCCTTTCTTGTAGTAATTGACTTATCTTTCTTCTGTAGCTGTGTAAGCTTCTTGAAACAGTGATGTCTCGATTGACTTGTTCTTAACACTTAATTCATTATGTGACTGGGCGAGTTATTTATCCCATCCATACTTAAGTTTCCCCATACCTAAAGTGGGAGTAATGGTAATACCTATCTTAAAGAATTGTTAGTGAGGATTAAATGAGTAATTATAAAGAGCTTAGAACAGTGCCTTAGATATAATAATGCTATGTAAGTGGGAGACAGGTCAGTTATACACATTTTACATGTTGGCTGTATATTGAATGAACAAGCTGTTGCTTTTGCTAATTAGTCACCAATTCCTGATAGTTCTGGCTTTTATTCTGCATGCCACTACCTTTATTCCAGGCTCTCATCTATTCTTCATTCCTCTCCATTAAAATTATTCTTTGGTCTTTACAGTCTTCTCAGAAACCTACAGTCATTTCTAAATCTTATCCCTCCTACTTTGTCTGCCATTGAAGCTTCTTCAAATTTTCCCCAAAACTCTCTCTCCAGTTTCTTCTCACACTTTTCTGAATCAGTGACCTTCCATGCCATATCCCTGAACTACTCTGGGTTGTATTCCATGGAGGTGCTTTCCTACCTCCACACTTTTGTGTATGTATTCCCCTCAGCTTAGACTCTGTTTCCTTTATGTCACTACCATTTTTATTAATAAATCAGTTTGACCCCATTGTTTTTACCCTAAGGATATTGTGACTTGCTTAGGACATGACTTCTCCTCTACATTATTTCTGATGTAATTGTAAATACCGTTTTCAACAGATCGATAAAGAATTGGCTAGTGGTGAATACTTTTTGAAGGCAAATCAGAAGAAGCGGCAGAAAATGGAAGCAATAAAGGTACGGCACTTTATGTCTGGCTCACATGAATAGCAAAGTTCATAGATACTTGAATTATTTAACTATAAATACATTTAACTGATATATTTTTTATTTATTAATGTAGGCTAAACAAGCAGAAGCCATCAGTAAGAGACAAGAGGAAAGAAACAAAGCATTTATTCCACCTAAGGAAAAACCAATTGTGAAACCTAAGGAAGGTAATGCTTTCTATGATGTAAAAGTCTTTATTAATTAGGAAAAGTAAACCCATAATAAATTTGTCTGAATCTTTTTAAGAAACAGTTGTATCTTTTCATCAGTTCTCTTAGCATTTCATTAATTACTAATCCTAAGGACAAGGGATGGCTGAGATAATTTATAATTTAGAGGCAGCTAATGCCTATTTCAGTGCAAACTGGATTGACAGTCCTCTCCTGACCTCTGGTCTGTGCTTGGAAAAGACTCTTTGTTGTGAAAGATACAAACCCAGGGCAGCCAGTGCATCTTCTGTAGAAATGCAAGAAGATCCCTGAGCTCTGCTGTCATGCCTCTCAAAGAGGAATTATCAGAAGTTGTACTTTTTCTTCTCTTTATGTGATCTTGGCTTAGAGTTTGGCTTCTATATCGGTAACATGGATTTCTCATCACCTTAGACTAAAGGATGCTGACAGGTCTTATTCAGGAGCTATTAGTGCGAAAGTGATTGTGGTTTTTAAATGGCAGAAATCACTTTCGCACTAACCTAGTATTTAAAAGACACTAAGAGAAAACATTGTCATGCCATTTCTTCTGATGCATCCTCTTCTGCATTTTTTTCCCCTGTGGTAACACTTATCCTCTTCCTAAAGTAACCCTCCAAAGTGAACAGTGACACACTGAAGGGAGAGGGCTCACCAGCAATATTGTACATAGACTGGGTCAGAAACAGATATAATACATTATTATTTTAATATATTGCTTGTTAATAGCTTTAAAAATACTACATTCTATGGTAGATTATTGGTTATATAAAAGGTAGAAATGTCATAAGTATTATAATTTCCAGTCTGTAAAACCTGTCAGTTGAGTGCTTTGAAGGTACTCAATATACTCAATAGCTAGTTACCCTAATTTAGTTTCTCCACACGGTGGAGGCTTTAACACTCTGTGCTTCTCAGGTTGCTGGGTAGTTTGATGTTTTATCTTATGATTCTTTTATGCTGTGATCCTGTACTTTGAATGGTAAGAAAAAGTTGCATTCTTTTTCACTGCTTCCTTTCTCTATTTTGTTCACACTTTTGGCATTGATTAGATAGTTGGCTTCTATTAGGGGGACTTCCACACACTCTCAAATTATTGTCTTTATTACCAAAATGTTGTTAAATATACCAAAATCTTGTTAAAATACTATTAATTAGTCATTCATTGAATTAATATTCAATGAATTAATCTAACATTAAATGAATTAATTCATTGAATATTCAATTAATATTGAATTAATATTTGGAAAACTTTAAATTTTCGTTTTGATATTAGAGGAAGTAGATTTTGACCTCTAGCTTAGGGTTAGCTGATTAAACTTATTGAGAAGGGATACATGTAATTTTAAATTATTTTAATGTGCAAGATGGAAAATAATGACTCAGAAGTTCCAAAATATGGAAAAGAATGTAGGTAAAATAATTTAGTCTGAAGTAGGATTTAAGGAAATAGTCTTAATATAGTTGAATCCAGTAATTGGTTCAATTATGCCATTTATGCCATTTTTATGTATACTTGTACTAATATATAAAGTATTTTATGATTTGTTTTATCTTAATCTGAAGAAATTTCTAACTGCTTTAGGCAAGTGTTTTTATATTTTATACTGTGATCACCTTTCAATTATTCAATTATAAGAATACTCTGAAGTTAACTGCCTTAAACATATATTCTTTGTTAAACATATATTCTTTGTTTTACTTGGTAAAATCTAAAGTATTACATGTGTTGTGCTTTTAATTTGTCTAGCTTCTACTGAAACTAAAATTGATGTGGCCAGCATCAAGGAAAAGGTTAAGAAAGCAAAGAATAAGAAACTGGGAGCTCTTACAGCTGAAGAAATTGCACTTAAGATGGAGGCAGATGAAAAGAAAAAGAAGAAAAAAAAGTAACATACCCAAAACTCCTTGACTAGAACTATCTCCTTTTGTAAAGGATTTTGAGATATCAGGCATTAGTTGCCTTATTTGTGAGAAATTTTCTGAGGGCTTTTTTTTTTTTTGGTGGTGGTGGTTGTTCATAGAAGAGTGTTCTTTATAAATTATATTATTATTGTATTTTTTGAAAAATTTATACGAGAAAGTGGTATATAAGTCTTTGTATACATTACGACCATTGTGATTATCCATTAAATCCAGTGTCTGATGCTATTGGTTAGTAATGATGTCCCAGCATTTGATGTTCCCTCTCTAATGATAACAAGTAAATATTTAGGTTTATCCCTTTTGAAAGTTTGGTTTTACTTTTAACAGTCCATGAACAGAAAATTAAGGCCTCTAAAATCAGATCCCCTAGTTACTCCTCTGTTCTGAATCTGGGGAAGTAGTAAACCAAAAAGACAGGGAAAACCAGATATTTAGAGTCGAAGCAGCATGCAAAAAATAATAATGTTTTTAACTAATGAAGGCTACTGGAGTTACTAAGAATCACCTAAAAATGTGCTACTGTACCTTGCTCATTTTGCAGATTTAGAAGCTGAAACATGGGTTAGGTTACTTACTAAAAGTCCACCTGTGGCAACCTGCAAATAATGCTTATTTATACTAAAGATGAGTTTATCTGATAGAGTTAGGAAATTTCTTCTTTTGAGTAAGAGTATTGCTATAACATATATTTTTTTCTGAAATGTTTTAAAATAGAAGTACACCTAATTGTTATTGGTTAAAAAAAAAGCCATATGTGAATGAGGTTGGTTTTTGGGTTTTTTCTTTCCTGAATTGTATTAGTCCAAAAGAACTAAATTAGGGTACTTGTGCTGTACCAAAATGGTAATTATAACAGACAGTATTAGAATTACTGAATTAACAATGAGAAAGAGAGAAGTGTATCTGTTACGTGGATATATGGGCCAGCCTGGATATACAACAGAGTAGTAACCTGTGAAACAAACATAGAATATCCTCTTAGACATTGTTCCTCATAATGCACTGACAGAATTCACATAGCTCTTAATGAAACAATTTAAGATTGATGTACGTACGTTTGACTTGGTCTCGCTGTCGGTTAACTGTAAAGTTAGGGGGAAGAAAGAAAAAAAATTAAAAGGGTAGACACAGTTGAGAGTTTTATTTTAAAAAGCTAAGTCTTATAATTATGACCATTAACTTGCTTTGGCTTTATTGCAGTGACTTTCCAAGTTTAATTATTCAAAACTTTTTGAACTGACTGAATTAACTTGGTATTTTTAAGTTGACTTTTTACATAAACTTTATAAACCTTTTATAAAAAGGAAACTATACCATTACTATAAATGGAAAATCATTTTACACATCATACCTAGCAGGTAATAAAATTTAAAAAATAAAAATTAAATATTAGAATGTGAGAAATTTATTAAAATATAGTTCTAAAAATAAGTTTCTTCCTGAGAAGAATGATACTGTTTATGATGAATCCATAGTGAAAAGACAGTGACCTCTCTTTCATCCAGTCTAGTATATCACTAAATCATCATTACGATGTTTGGCTATCAAGTCATTAATTACTGTCCTCCTTTCACTGAGCTTTATTCAAATTTTGACAATCAGAGCACTGGGAAGAAATAAATTCCACAACTGCCTTTAGCCTTCTGGATACTTTCTTTTATAAAATAGAAACCTTTTCCACACCAGTTCTGCAGCAGTCGCTATTAGATGCTCGTGGTAGAACCCATCAATCATCTGGTCCTCTGGGTACTGGTGAGCATCCCTGGTCTTCATACCTGTGAGTGGGCTTTGTGGTGAATTACTGTAAATATGCTACCCTCACTTTTCTTGGCAGTTATGTCGATGAAATCAAGAGTGTGATGTTCTAGTTATTTTTTTTTATATATATTTTTAAATGTTCAATATTCAACTATTGAAACAAATGTACATCTGTGAACTAGCTAAAATCATCTTATGTACCACTAATATGCCCAGCACATTTTGTAAAACAGTCCTGATTTGGCCTCCAAGGGTATTTATTGAACTACCAGCAGTATCTAGGAGACCACGAAGGAATACCACGAAGGAATTTATGCTCCAGTGCTTGCCATAATTTGTCTGAGAAGGAATCTGTTAAATAAAAGCTTTTATCCTCTAACCTTTACCTTCATCAGACCTTATAAAAGGTCAAATGGTGATTCTTAAGTTTTTTAGTCACAAATCTTACTTATTCAGTATTAGTGCGAAGAGTAGAATACTTTCAAGTAAGCCTAAACTTACATGAAAACAAATTACATAAATCTAGCTCTGAGAATAGGAAATTAGTGACAAGATCAATCTGTAAGATGTTGAGCACTTATCTGAAGTAAATGGGTAATGAGTTTCACATCTTATAAATACAAGTTAGCATGTGTTTTCTCAAGAGTCCAAGGGTTTTCATTATTGGACTACAGCTTTAATCTTCTAAATGTTATTCCCCAAGATTAAAGAGCATCTCAAGTTAGATCACCAAAGATCAAAAGCTAAAACCAGAAGTATTTTTGTCATTGTGGTGGTGGTAGTGTTACTAATTGCCTAGATTTTTAAAGGGAAACATTTTTTTCACTGGGTTGTTTCGTTGAAAAAAATAGAAGCAGAAACTTGCCCAAAGTCACAGTGGTCAAACTGGAAATTGCACCAAAACTTGGCATACTGGTTCTGAAATCCATAGTTTTAGCCCTTATGTATACTGGTTAATTTGGAAGGAAGAAATATATACGTTCTGAAGTGAAGAGTGAGTGAAAGGAAGAATTCAGTGAATACATTGATACCTTGATATTATCTGCATTGTGGCTACATGTTACTTTTCTTCACAAGAGTGATATAAGTGAAATAAAGAATGATTGGACTGGGAGAAAAATGGCTCAGAAAACTTTGCAAAAGTACGACTGTATGTAAAGATAAGTATTCAACATTAAATGGGAAGGAGGAGAGCAAGCAGTTTAATATATAGAATTTTATAATTTTAGGCCTGCAAGGGACCTTATAAAACATGAGCAATGGAACACTTTTTTCCAAACTAAATTTCGTGCAGTGGAACTTGGCCGACTCTGTCCTTCCTCTATTCTAAGCACCCTACTCTAGCCCGGCTGCTCTGAGTTCAGTTTGTTACAAATATGGACACGAAAGTACCACAGGCTTTGCACAGCTTAATTGAAGTTTCCCCTTCACACCATGGTAAAAAAACATACTGGGATGGAAGGGTTTGTGTCTAGAACAAGAACAAGAAATAAACTCTTGGTCACTTACTAATATTTCAAAATCACAAAGCAGAATTTTGCTTGGATGTTTAGTAAAACATCCTTGGAAATTTAACTGCTTGCAGCTTCTACACTTCTTCATTAAATGCTGTCTGGCTAATAAAAAGTGCCATGTTGCAGCTTTATTTTATTTTCATTTTTTGGAGATAGACCCTCACTGTGTCACCCAGGCTGGAGTGCAGTGGTACAATCTCTGCTCACTGCAACCTCCACCTCCTGGGCTCAAGTGATTGTCCTGCCTCAGCCTCCTGAGTAGCTGGGGTTACGGGCGTCCACCACCACACCCAGCTAGTTTTTGTATTTTTAGTAGAGGGGGTTTTTGCCATGTTGGCCAGGCTGGGCATGGTGGCATGGTAATCTCAGCTACTTGGGAGGCTGAGGCAGGAGGATCGCCTGAACCCGTGAGATGGAGGTTGCAGTGAGCTGAGATCACACCACTGCACTCTAGCATGGGTGACAGAGCAAGACTCTGTCTCAAAAAAAAAAAACAAAAAAAAAAACGAAAACAGAATTCTGTTTGTTTGGATGACCTGTTATACTTATTTTTGATCTTGCTGAAATAAGCAAATCTTAGGAATCTTAGTCTACAGTTTCTGACAGTTTTTTTTGTTGTTGTTGTTTGACCAATTAGAACTAAATAAAAAGAACGTGATTTTCACATTTAAATTTCTCTTAAATGTATTCCTAGAACAGTAAGCCATTGGTTTAATTGCTACTTGATGCCAGTTTCCTTGAAGATAGCCGTTAAGATAAAACATGGTTTCATTGTTAATTCTGTAGAAAGTTACATGTTACTATTATGTTATTCTATTGGTGTATTGTTCCTTTTACTCACCACAGAGATTGTCCAAACACTTGTCATTATTGGGGCAGGCACTGCAGGTGGCTCCTCTCTTATATGGCCAAGTTGGGTAATTCCCTCTGTAAAGCAGAAGAAGGATGTCCATTAGAAGTTTTTCGGTTTTTTAAAATTGCAATTTACTATGAATCCTTAACTAAATCCAGAAGAATAGTGGAGTGAAGTACAAAGGTCCAGAGAGTTGGTAATAGAAGTGAAGACAGGAAGGCAGAAATGGAAGGCTGCTAATATTTGCATAGTTCATTCTATGTACCTGTGTCTATGCACCTGTTTTAATCTGCATCCCATTTAATTGTGACAGCTCTGAGAGGAAGTTATTCTTGTTTTACAGATGAGACAAAAGATGTAAGAGATACCTTTAATCACAATTTATACACTTCAGAGTCAGAGGAAACCTGGATTTAACTCCAGGGCTGTGCTCCCTCTCTTTACCTACCCTCTGGCCTATATGATTACTGCCATTTAAAAAACTGTCCATCTTAGAAAAGCTATGGTGACCCACATTCAATATTCTCAGTTGGTCAGCCCTCCATAATTTTCACTGGATAGGAGCCATTTGGCTGGTGCCTTCCAAAAAAATAATAAATAATGGTATGGGGGAATTTCTAAAGTACAAATTGTTTTCACATACAAGATGTGATATGAATAATAGCTGCTAATTAGTGAGCACTACCATGTGCTTGTCTTTGTTCTAAACAACCTTGAATGAAATAATCTTCACAAAAACCCTATGAGGAAGTTACTGTTGTCTATTTATACCCATTATATAGCTAGAGGCTGAGTCACAGAGTATAAGTAATTGACCAAGGTCACAGACTAGAAAGTGAAATAATATCCAAGCATTTTATATCCCCATAAATATCCTCATAGTAGTAATGGGGAGAGGGGGCACATTTATCTCAATGAACCTGCCATTGCACTAATTTTTTTTGGAACTCTGCTTTTGGAAAAAGTTCTAAACTTTTTTGTGTAATCGTACCCTTTGGCAGTCTGGTGAGGCCTATGGGCTCTTTCTCAACATAGTTTGTTGTTAAATGCATAAAATACATAGGATTATAAAGGAAACCAATTAAATTGAAATAGTTATCAAAATGTTTAAAACAAGATTTGTGATAAAGTAATATGTGCTTCTCTATTAAGATCTACCGGGGGCTATTAGTTTCAATGCAGTGATGAACACAAACTATATTTTGAGTTCTCTGCAGCAAGTGGAATGTGGTATGAAAATATCTGATATTTACAAAGATGATACTGCTAAGTCAGAGTCACGTTTATTGCTAATATGATGGTGGAGTGTTGTCTTCATTCATAATGAAAGGAAATGTTATTTTTAATAGAGGTTAGTGAAAATAAAAATAAAACTATTTTCTAATCAAAGTTTATGGTCCTCCTCTCCCCAGCACTCTACAATTACCTCCAAAGTTGAGAACTCTCACCTTAGACACACAACTTTATAACGATACCTTATTTCCAACCCCAAATCTATGTTCTTATCTCATTTTGCTCCAAATTTTAAGTTGCTTCAGAAATTTAATTAGCCCTCTGCTTACTCTACACCATGGAAAAAAGGTAATATAGTAGAAATTCTGATAGCAATTTCAAAAGATGTCCAAAATAGACATTAATCATTGGAATGTCTTTCATTGTTAATAAGCACAGTATTAAGTGGTTTAAGTTCTAGAATGATTTTAATAAAGTCATTTATGATACTTAGTTGTGCATTCCAAACTGTAAAGGAAAAGGTAAAAAATGCTACTTAAAAATAAGCTAAAAACCAAGACAGTCGGTGAGGTCTGTGGAAATGGTAGTATTCATCTTGGGAGAAACATGCTACTGGAAAGGCCTGGATTTGTCTAGATGGGAGTCATTAAGACTGTGGGACCTAAAGTATTCAGCACAATAAAGCAACAGGACATTTCAATGTTTTCCCTGGTAGCCTGAGAGAGAAGAGGGTTGGGGTTATGGGACCCAGGGGAAGACCGAAGACAAATCTTTAAAGAAAAAGATAAATATGGGTAAGGGTCCCTAAGGCAGTGACGGCCTAAGCACACTGGTACTATCTTGACTATCTTGTGGTCAAAGTTATTTCCTCTTCTGTGCTATAATCCTCTCCTCCACTAATCCACTCTGAGTAAAGATCTGTTACACACCATACCCTTGTTCATGGTGCCCAGGGGAAATGAAGAGGAGAGTATTACAGGCAACTGGAAGATTAAGCATCCCAGACCCCATTCTGAGGTATCAGAAATATTGAGGAGGATACTGGACTTCCTAAGATTATGTGGAATGGGGGCCTACAACTTTTTGTGTATAGGAAAATAATACCTCAGAGGGCAGAGGGCAAAGGGAAATGAGGACATTCCTAACTGGTCTCTCTGTTTTACCTTTTATGCTCCTCTAATCCATTTTCCATCCAGACTGATGTCCAAATTTAAAGGTCTCATCGCTCCCCTGCTTAATATACTTGAATGACTTCTTATGTAAACTTTGTCATGATCTAAAAGTTCCCGCTAGATCTGCAACTGCCTTCCTCCCCCCGTTTCATCTGTTTAGCAGACCGAGGGCACCAGTCTCTGTGGTTTAAACTTGCCAAACTTTTCTTCACGGAAGTTTTGCTGTTCTTTTCTCCACTAGACAGCTGTTCCAGAAGTTCTTATGTCTGATTCCTTCTCATTCTTCATGCCTAAGCTTAAATATAACACAAGAAGCCCTTCCCTGATTATTCTAAACAGGGGCCTTGCCTATTGATAGTTTCTATTACAGTATTATTTATAGTTCCTTAATTGCCCCATAATGATGCAGTTATTTTACTTGTATTTTTATTATCTGTTTGCCCCATAAATATTACTCTCATAAAGACAGAGACTGCCCTGTTCTCCTTTGGAGCTCAGTAAAACAAATATTTGTTGAATAAATGAATATTTGAAGTTAGTCTTTATGGAAGCATTATAACTTTGGTTGTAAGTTTTATAATTTAATATTGTTTATAACTCTGAAGATAAGTGAGTCTAAACCAGGAAAATTTACATTTATACTTTAATGAATAAAAATCATGAATACTTACAAAACATTCACTATTGCCAAGCATTATATATACCTAGTATTTTACAAAGCCTTCTCTTGTCACTTTCATAGCTACTCTAAGTGATGGGTCCTGTAACCCTGATCTATTGGAGGTTAAACTGAGATTCAGAGTTAACTTGTCCAGGGTCACACAGTAAATTAATTGTATCTTAACCATTAAAAATGTCATATGAGGCCGGGTGTAGTGGCTCATGCCTATAATCCCAGCACTCTGGGAGGCTGAGGCAGGTGGATCACTTTAGCCCAGGAGTTGGAGATGAGCCTGGGCAATATGGCAAAACTCTGTCTCTACAAAAAAATTAACTGGGCATGGTGGCATGTGCCTGTAGTCTCAGGTACTAGGAAGGCTGAGTTGGGAGGATTGCTTGAGCCTGGGAGGTTAAGCCTGCAGTGAACCGTAAGCGAGCCACTGTACTCCAGCCTGGGTGACAGAGTGAGAGACCCTGTCTCAAAAAAAAAAAAAAAAGTCATGAAAAGTTACCACTAACTGAATTATGGCTTTGTCTAGTTTTTTCTGGGTTTTCTTTATTTTCCAACTCTTAAGATATTAAGTCAAAGCTGTCATCTTCAGAATGACGCTTTGTCTCCTCCTTCACACCTACAGCACTCAGTCAGAGTATCGAGCATGTCTTCTGCACATTACACCAGGGAAATGGCTTTCTTTCAGCCAATCTCCAGGAATCCAAAAATTCAAAGGCAACAAATTAAAGATCATTATATATATTGCAAATGGTTAAAAACCTTTAAAATATAAAAACTTTTATAAATAAGAAAATCTAGTAGAAAAATGGTCAGCCCACATGATTCACAGAAAAAGGAATATAAATAGACAATTATGTGAAGAAATTTATAATTACTAGTAATCACAGAGATGCAAAAGAAAGCAAATGAAATGCCATTTCCATCAAATTAGAAAATACTAAGAAATTATAATACCTAGTACTGATGGTGAAATACAAATTGATATAATGGTGGAATGTAATTTGGCAATATGTACTTAAAACAAAAATGGTCACAGTCTTTACGTGCTAGTATCTCAAGGAATTATAGGGAAATAGAAGTGACTGAAGATACATATATGAGGTTGTTCATCATATATTAAATGAAAATATAGTGAACAATCTAAATTCTTCAACAGGATGGTGGTACCATCAAGAGCATGGACTCTGGAGCTAGACAGCCAGATCAAAGTCCATCAGTGATAGTCACTAACTGTAGAACTTTGGGCAGGTTGCTGACCCGTGTGTGCCTTGCTGTTCTCATTTGCCAAACAGGGGTAGTAATAGGAGCCATCTCATAAACTTCTGGTGAAGATTAAGTTAATATATGTGAAGCACTTTAACAGTGCTGAGAGCATTGTAAGCATTATATAAACAATCTATCATTTTTATGATTAAAATCACTTAAAATTTTGAAAAGGAAAATTTTTCACAGCATAATTTTAAGTGAAAAATAGAAAATGTATATTTTCAGTATGATCAGATTTCTAAATATGTGTATGACACAAGCACACATATGTAAGTTTAAAGAAAGTAGGAGGAAGGTGTTTGCCCTGTTTCCCAAAGTGGGAACTATATCTGTTTTAAAAACAACTGTCAAAAGTAAATGAAATAGGTTATATAAGTTGAGGAATCTGTTTTGCTTTGAAAATTGTGTAAAATTGCCAAGTTTCTAATAAACCAATAAATATAACATCAGTTCTTCCACTTTGTGGTATTACCATATACAATTTATGTCCCTGATGAATATTTTAGTCTTACCACTCTTAAAAATATGTGCGTATGTATTTAGGTAGTATATATAAAGGATGTACACACACACACACACCCTCTCTCTCTCCAAGAAAAATGTACCAGAATGTTAATTAAGTATATCTCTGGGCAGAAGAATTAAAGGTTATGTTAATTTTTTATTTATACTTTATCCAGATTTTCTATAATGAAGAGGAATACTGCTAAAATGTTTTTTTTTGTTGTTGTTTTTTTTTGCGGGGGGGGGGGGGCGTTTCCTATAAACCGGTTGATTCAGGCACTTACCCTGGTCCGTAGTTGCATATAAAATGTGCTCCATTGGAAAGAGCGTCAAAGCCAGAAACTTTAGGGCAAAATTGAACTGCGCAGCCA